>NC_000007.14:87355263-87658294 GCF_000001405.40 Homo sapiens | reverse complement strand
GTAACTCCCATTTTCCTGTTGGGTCCATCCACTGAACTTTTTCAGTTTCATATTTTTTCAGCACCAAATTTCCATTTTGGTCTTCTTTGTATCTTCCATTTCTTTGCTGTGGATTTCTACTTTTTCATTTGTTTCTCACATGTATTGCTCAAAGCATTTTAATCATGGATGCTTTAAAATCTTTGTCAGTGATTCTAACACCTCTGTCATCTCAGTGTTGACATCTATTGACTATCTTTTATTATGCAATCTGAGATCTTCCTGGTTCTTGGTATGACAAATGGTTTCAATGGAAAGCTGGACATATTTATATTATGTTATGAAACTCTGGATCTTATTTAAACCTTCTGTTTTAACTAGCTTTTTGTGACACTGCTCCCACAGGGGAAGGTGGGAGGGGGGCATTGCTTCATTACTGCCAAGTGGAGGATGAAGTTCAAGTTTCCCAATTGGCTTCCACTGACACCCAATAAGGGCATCCTCATTACTACTGTGTGGGACTTGGAGTCCAGGCTTCCTACATGGTTTCCACTGGCATGGTACTTGGGGTGGCCTCCTTACCACTGGGTGACAGTGAAAGACATAACTCTCTAACAGGCCTCTTCTGACCCCACCCCAGTATGGCCAGGAACCAGCACATTACTTTTGGATGAAGATGGCAGCCTAGGCTCCACAGTGTGGTGTTCCGTCAACATTGTGGGAAGGGGGGTGTTGGGGAAGAGAGAGAGAGTTTTTGACCAGCCAAGAGGGAAGAAATCTTATCTCTCTGGCCTTCTCTGATACAACCCTAATGGTGGTACTGGGACACTGTTATAGCCTCAGGAGGGCGGAATTCTAAGCTTCCCATTCAGCCTTTTTTAAGAGTAGGTGGTACTACGGTTTTTTTGTGTGATGTTTAAAGTAGAGCAGATACGGCTGAAAAGTTTTCTGTTTTGCTAGGCTGTTCTTTCTCTGGTCCTTTGGCTAGAGAGAATAGTATCTTGTGGAGAGGTTTTCATTGTTGTTGTTTTTTTCCCTTTGCCTGTTGAAATTTGCAGGTTCCTGGCTTATCCAACACCCAGTCTGGGATATATGAGGTAAAAAGTAAATCCAGGCAACCCACTACTGTGTCATTCCTAAGGTTCTAGTGTCCTTAACCAGTCTTTCTTCTACTCGCTACCTTTCAGAGTCTTCTTATGTTTGTTTTATGTATAATGCCCAGGGTTTATTATTGTACTTAGTGAGAGAAATAGGGGAAAGTATGTCATGTTCATCTTCCCAGAGGTACAAGTCTTCCTAAATTGCATTTCCCTCCCACCATTTGATATGATAGAAGCTATGAATGAGGGCAGGGATTTTTGTTTAATTCCCTACTGTATGCCCAGCACTTACAACAGTGCTAGGCATATAGTAGATACTCAATAAATACAATTGAATAAATAAATGAAAAAATGCATTTATAGTGATCCATTACATTATGTTTTTGAATGAGTAACTTGAAATTTAAGTAGCTTAGTGATGGATAAATAAGTTTAGAAGAAAAATAGTGGTGAACTATAATACAACTAACAAGTTAAAAAACAAATCAATTGATTTTCCTCTATAAATGAAATTAAATAATTAGGTTTTTTTTAAACTATCAATTAAGTCTACCAACTTAGACTAAATCTAACTCTGTTTTGGAAAATGAGTATCCTCTAACGTCTTTCTCTTCTTTATTCTATTTTCCTCCTCCCCCTTTATCTTCCCTTGCTTTCTCTTTCTTCTCCTATCATTTTTTCTCAAGTGTCCAAAACAAACCTTGATATTTTCTCTTTTCCTAAACATGTTCTTCTTTTTCAGTCACCCTGGGTAATGACCACATCCAGACTGGAATCTCTGCATCGTTCCAGTCCTCAGCTTTCTCCTACCCACAACCAACCAATTCCTAAGATTTCTTAATACTACTAATGCATACCGTATTGTCTAGCTTCACTGGTTAGTCTCTTCTTTCTTCTTTTTTCTTTGAATAAACTTATAACTGTATTAATTTTTTCTTTTTAAAAATTATTTAAAAATTTTTAAATTGACAAATACAAATTGTATATATGATATACATGTTTTGAAATTTGTATATATCATGGAATGGCTAAATTGTACTAATTAACAAATTAATATACATATTACCTCACTTTCTTAGTCCATTTTTGTATTGCTATAACAATACCCAAAACTGGGTCATTTATAGATAACTGAAATTTATTTCTCATAGTTCTAGAGGCTGGGAAGTCCAAGATCAAAGCACCATCAGATTTGGGGTCTAGTGAGGGTCCTGTCTCTGCTTCCAAGGTGGTACCTTGAACACTACATCCTCTAGAGTGAAGGAATGTTGTGTCTCCAAATGGCAGAAAGCAAAATGGCAAAAAAGGACAAACTCCCTCTGTCAAGCCCTTTTATAGAGGTATTAATCCACTCATGAGGGCTCTGCCCTTATGAGCTAAGAACACCTCCCAAAAAGCCCCACTTCCCAGCACTGTTGGACAGGGGGTTAAGTTTCCAGCATATGAATTTGAGGGGACACATTTAAACCACAGCCCTCACATACTTATCATTTTTTGGTGAGAACACTGAAAATATACTCTTTTAGGAATTTTCAAATATCCAATACACTTTAACTATAGTCAACATTTTGTACAATAGATCTCTTGAACTTATTTCCTTTTAACTGAATTTTTATATCCTTTAACCAACATCTCTCTGATCCCTCTCCTTCCAGCACACGGTAACCACCATTCTACTCTCTACTTCTACGAATTCAACTTTTTTAGATGCCATGTATAAGGAAGTCATGCAGTATTTGTCTTTAAGTGTCTGGTTTATTTCACTCAACATAATGTCTCCTGGGTCATCCATGTTGTCACAAATGACAGGATTTTCTTCCTCTTAAAGGCTGAATAGCATTCCATTGTTTATATACGCAACTTTTTTTTTATCGACTCATCAGTAGATGGACAATTAGGTTGAGTCCTTATCTTAGCTAGTGTGAATAATCCTGCAATGAACATGGGAGTAGAGATAACTCTTCGAGACACTGATTTCATTTCCTTGGCTATGTACCTACAAGTGGGATTGCTGGTTTACATGGAGGTTCTATTTTTATTTTTATTTAATCACATAGAAGACTAATGGCAGTTCTATTTTTAATTTTTTGAGGAACCTCCATAATGTTTTCTGTAATGGCTGTTCTAAATTTACATTCCTACTACAAGGGTTCCCTTTTCTCCACATCTTCTCCAGCACTTGTTATCCTTCGGCTGTTTGATAATATGCATTCTAACGAGGGGATATCTCACTATGGTTTTAATTTTCATCTATTTGCTGTATAGTGATTTTGAGCACCTTTTTATATACCTGTTGGCCATTTGAATGTCTTATTTGAGAATGTCTATTCAGGTTCTTTGCCTAAATCAGGCTATTTATTTTCTTACTATTGAGTTCCTCATATATTTTGGAAATTAGCCCCTTATCCGATGTGTGGTTTTTAAATATTTCTTCCCTTTTTGTAAATTGTCTCTTTACTCTGATGATGTAATTTAGTTTGATGTAATTCCACTTGTTTATTTTCCTTTAGTTGCCTGTGCTTGTGGTGTCAAATCCAAAAATGTCATCACCCAGACCAATGTCATGGAGCCTTTTCCCTATGTTTTCTTCTAGTAATTTTACAGTTGTAGTAGATAGATCTTACATTTAATGCATTTTGAGTTGATTTTCTTCTGTAGTGTGAAGGGTCTAATTTCATTCTTCTACATGTGGCTAACCAGTTGTCTCAACACCCTTTATTAAAGAGACTGTCCTTTCCCTAGTGTGTGTTTTGGCACTTCTGTTGAAAATTAATAGACCAGAAATGCATGGATTTATTTGTGGGTTCTCTATTCTATTCTATTAGTTTATTTGTCTGTTTTTATGCTGGTAACATCCTGTTTTAACTAATATAGCTTTGCAGTATATTTTGAAGTCAAGTATTTTGATGCCTCCAGCTTTGTTCTTTTTGCTCAAGATTGCTTTGGTCAGGGTCTTTTGTGGTTCCATATTAATTTTCAGGATTGTCTTTTTTATTTCTGTGAAAAATGACCCTGAAATTTTGGTGGAGATTTCAGTGAACCTGTAGATTATGTTGGGTAGATTGTTAATATAAACATTTTAACAATATTAATTTTTCAATCTATGAACACATATATCTTTCCACTTATTTGTGTTTTTATGTCTGAAGTGGAAAAAGAAGAAAAAAAATACTGCATTTATCCCTATCAAACTTCAGCTCAGGCAAACTAACTTAGAGAAATAAAATATAAGCTATAGTTCAATTTTTTAAAAGCCTTGGGATTTTACTCAGCCTCAATTTCAATGTGAACCAAAAGTCTATGTAATCTTAAATTCTGACTAATACAGAGTTTAGCCTATCTGAAGCACTTTACTCAGCTCTGAGAACCAGATTTTTAAGAGCAATACTAACAAATCAGTGGTAAGCCAGAAGACTAAGTAAGACTGTGGTGGTTCCAGAAGATTAAAGAAACTAGCAATACCTTACCTGGGAGAAAGAAAAGAGGGAACTTGGGAAAAGGATTATAAAATAGCTATATTTTAATATTTATTGGTATTAGGCTCGCATTTGAAAAAAAAGTAGCAGAAAAAAGACCAAAGCACAATATGATAGGTTGGTTTCATATACATAAGAATTTTCAAATAATCTAACCTGTCCAATAACTTGATGGACTGCTTTATTTAGTTCTCAGAGATCAGAAGTGTTAAGGCAAAGACTATATGTCCCCCTGTTAGAAATACTGTTGAGTAGATTGCTTCAGCAGGAAAGAGGCTAGAAAACAGTAGTGCTTCTCAATCTGTGATCCTTTGTGCTAGCTGAAGTGGTACTATGTATGGAGTTTTGAATAGGTTGCAATTGTTGCTGAGCAGGCAAAATGCCTAACTTCTCCAACCTGGCTTCAACAAAATGTTCTACATATTTATCCAGCTTTTGCAGTGGCTTTTATTAGAGTGGTAGGGTTAGGGTGGAGAGAAGTATTATGCTTTAAATAAATAAATAAAAGTTCAAAAATTACTGAAGGACCTGAACAAAGATCTCTTTCAATTCTAATATTGTTATTAATTCCTATTTCTCAGCTATATCCTAGGAAAGTAAGATCAACATCTTATTGAGAGATTACTGCAAATAATATTAATATATCTGATTTTAAAAGCCTCCTTTTCTTCAATAACGGGGCTTTTAGAGTAAAGTAACTGTCTCAGCTCTTCACTTTGCCTGTATCAGCACAGCCTATACTGTGTCTGGGGGAGATTTTATCTCTCTCTGGAAAAGTTTAATGTTGAAAACAAATGTCCTTTTACTTCAAAAATAACCAGTAGTTGTAGAAAAGTAGATCTTAGAAACACGCAAAGTTATAAAATTTTAATTTGTACTTCTGTAAAGGAAAACACTGGAAAAATTAGTTGCTATGTAACTAAATCATAAGTGAAGAGTGTACTATCAAAATAATCATGACTTCTCCAAAAGTAAAAGCAATTTGCTATATATTAAAATACCAAAAAATAGGAAATAATATATGAAAGTCCCAGATGCTTGGATCTTTAAAATACCTCATCTCAAAAGTTACAGATTATTTCATACTTCCTACTATATATATATATATATATATATATCAGTGACCACAAGAGTCAACTGACAGAAATTTTTAAATTAACTTACCTAGCTTAAAAAATTAACACAATTCGTACTGTATCAGCTTTCTTACTATATCTTAGTCACACAAGTAGAATTCTTATCCATAAATCAACTGGGGATTCTATTTGCATTATAGTATTATTCAGAAATAACATTAATGGATTTGATTGTTTAGAAATAATTCTGAAGGGGTGTGATCTATATTTTGCTGAAGCACAACTCAGAAGATGGCAGATTAGTGCGCAGGAGGCATCCACTTACATAGTAGTGAGTCTACCCAACCACTTGGCATGGGAGTCTCAACATAGCCTTACTGTTCATTTGCTATTGATAGTTTTCTATTGATAGTTTTTGTGAGAGAATCATATGCTAAATGATATACCAGATCAAGGGAATTAGGTTTTAAGGTAAAATTCTCATGAACATCAAGGTACATCAGAGTCTATTCTATTCCATATGCTTTTTAGTTAGGCATTGTTTATAAATTTATGCATAAAATTTAAAAATACGATCATCACACAATATAGTATCTAATAATATCTCAAAATACTACCATATCCTTTGCTTTTATAAAAATTTTATTTTCTTATAAAAGGTAACATTAATGGCAGAAAATTTAGGAAACACAGAACAGCAAAAAGGACAAAAAAAACCCTTTTAAAATGCAAAACAACCAAATTTAACAGAAAAAAGCATTAGCAATTTTACAAACCCCGTTTTAAATTGCAGAGGGATAAATGAATTCATATTTTTTCTCCCATGTAGTTTCAATTCAATCCTTTGCTCTGGGCCCACAGTACTGCTCAACTCATTTAAACACTTATATTAAAACCTGGATGCTTTCAGCATCAAAAAGTACAGAATAGAATTAATCTTCACAGTACGCCTGAGATGCTCATAAGTTATGTTACCAAAGCAAGTTACTACTACTGATGTGAAACTGTATCATTAAGATTGTAAAGATAATAAAAAACTTAAGTGAAAATATCTGATGATCAAGTTTGCTTTAGGAAGACCAGATAATGGGATTAATGTGATAAAGTTAGTACTTATTGTTACTAAGATTTATACTATATAATACTTCTTGAATTTTAGCAACTATATTTTATAGATCTTTTTAATTTAAAGAATCTAAAATTCAGAGAGTATAGCTTCCAAGTTCCCCTTTAAATTGTTGAGAATTATATTTCTAATGTAAGTATACTTTTTGATTTAAGAAAATCAAAGACAAGCATGTCTCTTACATACCTCTTTTTTAACCTACTACCTGCTAAAACATTTACAAAGATACCTAAGTTTAAGAAAGTAGATGCTAAACAAATAAACATAATGCCTGGAATGCTTCTCTGTAAATTGATTAAAACACCATCTAGTAACCTTTGGGATGCGCTTCCTTTCAATTTAAGCTTTTATTTTAATTACTTATGGAAAGTCACTTTTCTCCTTGTATGTGGCAATTAACACAACATTTTCAATGCATCCCAGAAATAGGTGTAAATCTGAGAACAGAGGCTCTTTCGTAGTCACACAGGCCAAAAGATTTGACATTTCACATTATAGAATGTTGGCTATCTAAGTCACACAGACTGTATGATTTCTAAAATTTCAAGCTTATTATAAAGACAGCTGGTGGGAAAATAAATAGTACATTAGTGCTTTTACCTTTTAGCCGGTGGCTTAAAATCTGTTCCAAAATAGCTGCAAAATTGTTAAATTCAGGAGAAGAATCATCAATTGTCTCAAAGCAAGACCGATCAATCAGGGTCTTCACAGAAAACCTATGAAAAAAAGATTATTGTTGCTTTTAGGCAGAGTTGATTCATTCCCTAAGTATGAAAAAAATGGGAGGAAGGCAATTTGGGGAAGAGTTGTAAAAATATTTTACAAGAGTATAACATCTGAAAAACCCCATTTATTCAAATTTACTCTGTAAATGGAAATTTTTACAGAAAGGAGTCTTTTTATTGATATATTTCCTATTTCCTCTGGTCAGAATGTTTGTGTACTCCCAAAATTCATATGTTGATACCTAATCTCCAAAGCAATAGTATTAAGGGTGGGTGCCTTTGGGAGGTGATTGGATAATGAGGGCAGAGCTTTCATGTACAGAATTAGTACTCTTATAAAAGAGGCCTGAGGGAGCTTGTTTGCCTCTTCTGCCATGTAAAGACACACAGAAGGTGTCATCTATGAGGAATGGGCTCTCACCAGACACCCAATCTGATGGTGCCCCGATCTCAGCCTTCCCAGCCTGCAGAACTGTGAGCAATAAATTTCTGTTGTTTATAAATTACCTGGTTTAAGACAATTTGTTAAAGCAGCCTGAAAGGACTAAGAAAGTATCTACTGAAAAAACTAAGACTCAGAAATAGCTAATTGTCCCCATTAAAATCAAAATGTGACCTAACTAAATTAACTCCAAAATACTCAAAAACAGTAATACTACTTGTAAGAAATTTGAGCTGCAGACTCAAATGCTTTTGAGAGTTTCTGAGCACAAAATAGAATAAAATAGGACGTGAGCATTAATGAGAAGAATACGTCTGTATTAGTCTGTTTTCACACTGCTAATAAAGACTTACCCGTGACTGAGTAATTTATAAAGGAAAGAGATTTAATTGACTCACTGTTCTACATGGCTGGGAAGGCCTCACAATTATGGCAGAAGATGAAGGAAGAGTAAAGGGTTGTCTTACATGGCAGCACGCAAGAGAGCATGTGTAGGGGAACTCTCCTTTATAAAACTATCAAATCTTGTGAGACTTATTCACTACTACAAGAACAGCATGGGAAAGGCCCGCTGCCATGATTCAATTACCTACCACTGAGTCCCTCCCACAACACATAGGAATTATGGGAGCTACAATTCAAGATGAGATTTGGATGGGGTCACAGACAAACCATTTCAACATCCAAAATTTTTATGAGCTTATAAATAGCAAAACCTGCAAATCTGTAAAGTGTACTATATTTTTCCTTATCAGAATGTCCTTTGTCTCTATTTTTGACTGTCAAAAATCAATGTATTTTCCAAGTCTCAACTCAAATGTCATCTTCTCAATGGAGAATTATCCACCTGCATATTCCTAGCACAAACAAACATTTTATTTGCATTTATTTCCCTTAAGAGAAAATTACAATTTATCTTACTGCTACCATTTGTGTTTTCAATCTTCATCTTATTAGGACACAATTCCTTCAGGCAGAACCACGCTTTCTGAACTATGTATCTCCCTCAGCACCTAGGACAATGCTTTGAACGTTGTACCCAGTAGGTACCTGTTGATTTATTTGTAAGCTCTATTTTGAAAGAATGGTAAATAAATGTTTAAACGTCCTATCATGGCAAGACCCAACATATAGTTTATGGGTTTTAACATGTGTAGATTCATATAACCACTATCAAAATCAGGATACAAAACAGTCCTGTCACCTCAAACAACTCCCTCATGCTCTTTATAGTAATATCCTATAAAGGATGGTATATGAGTGCCTAAGACAGTGGGGAATCAAGAAGATAAGGGGAGCTGTTAAAGAATTAGAAATAAAAACTATAAAGGAGATAAAAGAGTACAAGCTTTTTTTAAGGTTTTACTCTTGATAGTTATGCTATTCAATCCGGACAGAAAATACAGGAGACAGGCATAAAGGGAAATATAGAAAGATTTGTTTATATAGGTTATATCTAGTATTCACCATATTAGAAATTGAACTAAAAGATTTTAAATATAGGCAGTCCTCACTTAGCACAGCAGTACAGGACCATAACAGTAACTCTGCAAGTTGAAACCATGCAAAATAATCTTTATAATTAAGTAAAAATTATAATTTTCCTGTGACCTTTATAAATTTTTGTCAAAACATTAAAAACTTTCTTACAACCAGTTATATCGGGAAATAAAAAATACTAAAACATTTATTTAGTACACTTTAAAACATTAGAAACACTGAGAATTCAAGTGTTTTACTTCTCTGTAAGAAACTTATGAAGAGTAATCTGAACAGTGCTTGCCTCATTCTTCTCATTTATACAACTTAAGATATAGTGTAAGCCTCTTTTTTTTTTTGTCTTTTGGCAAACTGCCATATTTCTTGAACTAGCTTCCAATATGTTTTCCTTTACACTTTCAATGCTGTGAAATACCTCTGAGAAGCCCTTTAATGTGAAGTGTTCTGTCAGTGTCACTTCCTCTGGGACATTTTCATCCTTTCTGTTGCAACCACTTTCCTCATTTTTATATGAACATTTGCCTCCACTAAGTTCCTTTGGCTGCATATCTAGATTCTCTTAAACAGGAGAAATGTGCACATTCCCATGATCAATGATTTCTTCTGTAACTCCCTTTATATTCATGCAAATCTCACTTTGAGCATTATCATTTTCCATTTCTTTCTTTCTTTTTTTTTTTTTTTTTGAGACAGAGTCTCGCTCTGTCACCCAGGCTGGAGTGCAATGGTGTGATCTTGGCTCACTGTAAGCTATGCCACCCCGGTTCACGCCATTCTCCTGCCTCAGCCTCCTGAGTAGCTGGGACTACAGGCGCCCACCACCAAGCCCGGCTAATTTTTTGTATTTTTTAGTAGAGGCGGGGTTTCACCATGTTAGCCAGGATGGTCTCGATTTCTTGACCTCATGATCCACCTGCCTTGGCCTCCCAAAGTGTTGGGATTACAGGCATGAGCCACCGTGCCTGGCCTATCATTTTCCATTTCTTTTCTGTACTTTCATCTCTGCAAGTTGGCCAATTTACTCTTTTTGATTATCCATTTTCAGATGCATAGGGACAAATCCTAGACAGACTTTGAAAGAAGTGATATTATTGGTGTCTGATCATGATGTGTATTTGTTAGTTATGTAATGGTTTGTGGACTAAAGAGCTAGTGGCAAAATGTGTATTTTATGCAACTACTCACAACTGAATTACAATGGTAATTCAAATTGAAACCACGTTATTGTAGGACTGATGTTACTTAACTAAATTATGAAATACTGGAACCATGCAAAGTAAGAACTGCCTGCATTTATTTACTAATTATAAACAAAATAAATTCATTACATGTTGCATAAAAATATATTTTTATGAAACTTATATTTTCCAAAAGAAAAATGTAGCAATGTTTACATGTTTGCAAATATCTTTAATGTGTTTAATAGAAGACAATTAGATTATATTACTGCTTTTGCATTCAAGCTATTATAATAGCACACATTATGTAGCTTCTGGAAAACTCCAGCATACACTTCTTAGAAAATGGGAATTTTTAATAAAAAAGACAAAGAAAATGACAATAACAACAACAAAAGAGAATGGAAATTTTAAAAGGCAAATAATGTCTTAGAATACTTAAGAAAATAATTTTGACTTTGTGGACCTCTGAAAGCATCTGGGTCCAGAAGTACACTTTCAGAAATGCCACCCTATGGCATTCTTGTTGTGTAATGAAATAACTCTCCTATGAAACGAGAATGATACAAATTACATACCATTACATATATATGGGATAATGGAAAATATAATCACTCAAATAATTTTCAGTCTTCTTTGGTTCAGATGAACCCTGATTGAGGAATGCTGAGATAGATTAATGTTCAACTACATAGTATTATCTACAACAGCAACTGGAGCTCAATGGAATAAATTATCATGCAATAACGGGAAATAACATATAGGAAGTAACACTGATAAAGTTAGTTTCTTGTACCTAACGGATAGTCAAGTTAGACAAATGCCAGATGTAATGCATAGTAAATGGATAGAAACAAAAAGATAAAGAGAAAACAGATTTAAAAGGGACTTGAAAACTTTTATTTCCTACGTCCATCTCAGTGACAATACACAAGAATAATGCTGCCAATCCCTGGCAAACTTTTAATAAGAAATAATAAGTACAGTGTGTAGGAAAAGGAAATGAGAAATGTTTCTAAAATGAATAAATAAAAAGCACACAATCTCCACCTCCACCTCCACCTTTGACCTGAATAGAAGGAAATTTCTGAATGTATTTCTCTAATCTTCATTCAGTAGAATGGAATAAGAAAGCTAACTCTGCATCCACACTGCTCAAGGAAGGAATAATCTACTGCTTGTAAAAATTATGCCATTTAAGATAGTAATGCATCTCCATAAAATACACCAAAACTTATATTTGAAAACAAAATTAACAAAGTGCTTAATTCATCAAAAATAAAAATCTAGGTTAGAACTCAATTTCCACCTTTAACAGTCTGATAAGATTTTAGTCACTATGTTCTCCAGGAATAACACTAGATTACTTAACAAACTATTTACTTTGTAAAATGTAGTGGGAAGAAAAAGCCATGGCTATTAGTGCATATATTTTCATATCATCAAGAGACCTATATGGATCAATCAGTAGTCAACAAAATGCACAAATATTTTTCTACATTACTCATAGGTTACGTTCCTACAGAAGATACTATCTGTGTCATAAAAACATAAAATGTCAAATATCAGAGCACTAAATTACTTTAAACTCAACAGCTAACTAAAAACTAAAACAAAAGCGAAGTCCAAATATCCCAAAGCATATCCTTAGACACAATTTCTATGATTTTCAAGCATAAAGACATTTAAGGGTGAGAAAGCATTACAAAAATTTCTATTATATCAAAGTCAGTAATGAAGAAAAATAATGTTCTCCAGCTTTGCTTCATCATTCATATCCTGCTCTCCTCCCTCCAACACAACCCAAAATTTCAGAAGGCAAATCAATCCCTTAGAGTCTATGCTTCACTTTCAGCTAACCGATTCTTCCCACTCAATACTCACTTCTCTAAAATCATATAGCTAGTCATGAGTATATGCCAGAGTAATGAGAATCTGTCCTTCATAACACAGTAACTAAGATGTGCTATAAAAATCAAACCTGTAGAAAGAATTTTAATATATCTAAGAAATATCACACAGATGCTGAGCTATTTCCTGATAATGATGACATTAATATTAGTCATCTGTTTCCTAAAAAGGAATGATTTTTAAATAATGAAATGACAATTTGATGAATGTCTAAAAATATCAAATCAAGTCTAAGTAACAGCTTTTACATAAAAATTAAAAATCAAAAGTTTATATAAAAGAGACTTATAATTAAGATTTTGAAATGCAGTTTTTGAAATGTCTCTATTTAAAAAGATTCTCTTTCCCACCTTCAAAGTCCAAGGAAATTTTTGTTAGCTTAGAAATGAGAAACAATGGGCCAGGCGTGGTGGCTCAACCCTGTAATACCTGCACTTTGGGAGGCTGAGGCAGGTGGACAACCTGAGGTCAGGAGTTCAAGACCTGCCTGGCCAACATGATGAAACCCCATCTCTACTAAAAATACAAAAAATTAGCTGGTTGTGGTGGCACATGCCTGTAATCCCAGCTACTCAAGAGGCTGAGGTAGGAGAATCGCTTGAACCCAGGAGGTCGAGGTTGCAGTGATCCGAGATCGTGCCACTGCACTCCGGCCTGAGCAACAAGAGCAAAACTCTGTCTCAAAAAAAAAAAAAAAAAAGAAAGAAAGCATGATTGTGACTAAAACCTTAAAACTTAAGAAAGCATGGACTACCTTTTTCCCTTTGTCATCATAGCAAGAGAAATGAGATGGTTACCAAAACTGTTTAAAACATATTAATTACATCCATATTACATTAATTCCTTCCATAGTTCATAGATTTGTAACATAATTATAATTAAAAATAACTTAAAAATTTTAAATGTGAGGACAAATCAAAAATAATTTTCTTTAATGTCTATAGTTTTTATTAGAAATTATTTTTATAGTGAAAATTCATCTTTAATATTTAATGTTCTGCATTAATATATATATATCCATATATACACAGAGAGAATAAGTAGTAAAAAAAATTATATTCCTATCCCTTTACAACAAGCATATATTATTTGGCCATTTATCCAATATGCTTCAGGAAAAAAAATGTTCAAATAAAATAGATCTTCTTATCTATACCATGTTATATCCCTTTATATGGAATGATATCTGAAGATAACTAATGTACATGAAAACATCTAGAATCATCACATTTCAAAACTTAAAAGGGCTCACAAAGGTTAAAGTCATTAATAAGAGTGATGTTTTTAATAGAACGTAAGTATCCAAAATATGAGACAGAGAACTCTCCACTATTTCAAACCAAATTTACAATATTCCTTATTATATGTCATTGCTGTTAGTAGTCTCTAACACAGGGGTGAGGTAATTATCCTCTGCCATTAAAATAACAGTCAGCATCAATGATCAACAAGGAGATGGCTTCCAAGAGACATGACACAATCCACACCAAACATAATATAAGCAGTGACTATAGGTGATAATAAGCACAATACCCAGAGATATCTGTTCACTGGAAGGCCTATTTTCTCTCTTATATTTTACATCAGAAACACAGAGAATTTTTCAGAATCAACAATTTGCAGGTCTGGGCACGGTGGCTCACGCCTGTAATCCCAACACTTTGGGAGGCCAAGGCGGGTGGATCACCTGAGGTCAGGAGTTTGAGACCAGCCTGGCCAACATGGTGAAACTCCATCTCTACTAAAAATATAAAAATTATCCAGGTATGGTGGCACACACTTGTAGTCCCAGCTACTCAGGAGGCTGAGGCAGGCGAATCACTTGAACCTGGGAGGAACAGGTTGCAGTGAGCCGAGATGGTGCCAGTGCACTCCAGCCTGGGTGAAAGAGCGGAAACAAACAAAAAAAGTAATTTCCCTTCTTTCTTCAAATATTATGCAACTTGCGAATTCTTGGCCGGGCGTGGTGGCTCACGCCTGTAATCCTAGCACTTTGGGAGGCTGAGGCAGGCAGATTGCCTGAGCTCAGGAGTTCGAGACTAGCCTGGGCAATATGGTGAAACCCTGTCTCTACTAAAATACAAAAAAAAAAAATCAGCTGAGCATGGCGGCATGCACCTGCAGTCCCAGCTACTCAGGAGGCTGAGGCAGGAAAATTGCTTGAACCTGGGAGGCAGAAGTTGCAGTAAGCCCAGATCATGCCACTGCACTCCAGCCTGGCAACAGAGCCAGACTCCCTGCCCCGCACCCACACACCCAAAAAAGAATTCTCAAACATCATGTGTATTTTCCTCTTTCTTTTCTAATATAATTTTAATCTATTTAAAATATTTTATAATGAGAAAAAATACCTTTCACATATCCTTTAAGCAGGGGTCTACAGACTGTTGTCCACAGGCCTAATACAACTAGTTAAATGTTTTTGTAAATAAACTTTTATTGGAACCAAAAAAAGTCCCAACCATCTTCCCTGAAATTTGTACCCTGAAACATGAAACTCTCTTCGTGATATTTTATTATCTCAAAAAATTTTACGCAATGTAAAAATCAACTTAAAAATAAAGGAAGAAAGCAGGGCCAGGTGTGGTGGCTCACACCTGTAATCCCAACACTTTGCAAAGCTGAAGCCACAGGATGGCTTGAGGTCAGGAGTTTGAGCAACAAAGCAAGAGCCCATCTCTATAAGGAAATGTAAAAATTAGTCAGGCATGGTGGAAAGAGGCTGTTATTTTAAGCAACTCAGAAGGCTGAGGCAAGAGGACAACTTGAGCCCAGGAATTCAAGGTTACAGTGGGCTATGGTCATGCGTCTACACTCCAGCCTGTGTAACAGAGCAAGACCCTGTCTCTAAAAAGGAAAATTTTAAAAATTAAATAAAGAGACAGATGTGTATTTAAAATATTTTCTCAATCTGTACTGTCAAAATTTATTTTAAAAGAGAATTGTTAATCTAGACACTTAAGAATGGAAATACTATATTATTAACATCTTGTATTGCTATATAAGCAGACTGATGACAGCAGATTGCCAAACATAAAAAATAACGTTAGAAGCACACTCTTAAAATAAAAAAGACAGTTTGCTGAGAATGATGGTTTCCAGCTTCATGCACATGTACCCTAGAACTTCAAGTATAATAAAATATATATGTTAAATAAATAAATAAATAAGGCAAAACTTTCCAAAAAGATTCATCTAAAATTAGTAAGCCATCAAACCAAGAAAACTTCCTATCTTAAAATACATTGGTTTAATCTCATATGAAAGAACTCCCAATTAAAATTATTTTAATAAAGAACACTTTATATACTTGGATCACATATCCCTTGGGAATCCAATTATTCTTTATCCAAGAACAAATGAAAATATTCAAATAGAATACTTTAACATAGTGAGCTTCCTAGTAAGCTAGACATTAAAAGCAGCAATAGAACAACGTGAAGAACAGAAAAAAACCATAACATATAGTCTTCATGGTTTATCAACACTAGAATGCTACGAAAATGAAAGGTCCCAGTTTCTGTCTATGCAAACACACACATCAGCTGACTTGTATCACAGACAATCAAGACAGCACAGTTTTAAAAATATATATATATGTTTTGAAACCAGATATATTTGGGTTTGAATTCTGGCAATGTTAGCCTTAACTATAAAATAAATCTAATTTAAATAAAAATTATTATAATTAAAATTTCCATTATTAGTGATGAAGGCTGAATCTAATATTTTTCCTGCAAAAAGCATATCGTCCACGTATAAATTAAATATATTTTCTTATCATGTTAAGATACAGATGTTTTGTGATTGATTTATGAAAATTTTAAATTGTTATTAATATTAATTTTGAGATTAGACCTGAAATATAACAGAAGATTTGGTTCTGTAAATACTAAGATTTAAAAATCACAAAATCTAATGTTAAATATGAATCTTTGGAGGATATTGTTTTCCTAACCTCTTCTAAAGACAATCACCATCACTGGAGATAACAGACAATAAATCATTTTACTTAGCTAAAACAACAAAATGTGGGCATCATATCCACTTTCTTTCTTTCATAAAATATTTTCAAAACAATATGTATTTTGGAGGATTTGTTTTTGAATATGCAATCTAGTGTCAGAGTAAAAGAGGAAGGCAGGGAAGAAGAGCTCTTTCATTTAGTGCACATTCACAGCTGTCGGCCAGCTTTTGGTAAACAGTAGTTACTGTGATTGTTTACTGTCGCCCCCAAATCAGTGCATTTTGTTGTTTTGGCTTGCTGGAGGAAGGGTGCTAGAAAATATACCAAATCCAAGTTGAAAACCCTGAAAGGCCAGGAGCAAACTGTAGGTTGTTCAAGACTAACCATGGTTAAAACCTAGTCTGGATTCAGCACAGTCCCTGATTGGATGAAAGCAATCAGCTGCTACTCAATCTTATGGAGGAAGATGAACACTAGTAAAGCAAAGTGGTCATTAACCTACACTATTGGCCATGGGTACTAGTAAACTGTTGGCGATATCTTTCTAAAATTAAGTGGTGCATTCCATCTGTTTACTCCACTGTGGTCTATTTCTACTGTATACTATGTTCTTATGAATACTTTGACACAAAATGGTTGACAAAAGGGTAAACATGATAGTACTAAAAGAACAACAAAAGTATTAAAGAAATAACTTAATAAACATTGTGTGGCATTCAATAACATTCTAGATGTGACAAAAGATAGAACATACATGACAAAGAAAGGAGTAAGAGAGAAAAAGCAGACCATAAAAGTAGATATAAAGATAATTCAAAATTCTAAATTAATAAGAACTTTAAGATAAATGTGAGTAATACATTCAAGAGATGAGAAGAAATGAAGTACATAGGTAAAAAGACAGGTTTTTAAAATCAGAGGGTTAGAGTCTATTTTAAAAAATCAAATAAAAATTCTGGAACTACCTGAAATTAAAAACTCATTCAATGGATTAAACAGTAGAATAGACAAAGCATAAGACATAATTAATGAACTAGAAAAGGAGTCAATAGAAAACATACAAGCTGAAGCATAAAGAGAAAGAAGAATAGAAACCATGGGAAAGAATATGAATCAAGTGAGGCCTGGTAAAGTTTAACATAATGTAATTGGAGTGTAAAAAGATAATGGAGACACACGTGGTGGCTCATGCCTGTCATTCCAACACTTTTGGAGGCCCAGGCAGGAGGAATGCCTGAGGCCAGCAGTTTGAGACCACCCTGGGCAACATAGCCAGATCCTATATCTACAAATTAAAAAAAAAATTAGCTGGGTGTGGTGGTGCATGTCTGCAGTCCTAGCTACTCAGGAGGCTGAGGATCACTGGAACCCAGGAGTTCAGGGTTGCAGTGAGCTATGATCGCACTACTGCACTCCAGCCTGGGCAACACAGCAAGACCCAACCTCTAAAAAATAAAAATAAAAAGTAAAAAGAAGATAATAACCAAAATTTTTCCAAAACTGAGGAAGGTAAAATGGAAAGGGTAAATATGTGGATAAATATAAATGTGTATTTCCTAAATACCTACTGTAAAAAAATATGGTAATAAAATAATGTAAGATTTAATATATATATATATATACACATATATATATAAGTATGTTTTAGGATGTGGGGGAATAAATGGTTCTAACACTATTGGAGAAGTAGTAAAAGTTACAATTTGCATTAAGCTGTAATAAACCAAAGGTAACTGCCAAAAGAATAGAAATATATATAAACATATATAAAGAAATGGAATATATGACTCACAAGTTCACAAAGTAAAAAACTGGAATCATGGAATAAATGGAACTATAAAAATATTAATATTTAAGAAGGCAAGAAAAGAGAAAAAAGCAAACATACAATGAACAGTAAGATAGCTATAAATCCAAATATAATAGTAATAACGTTAATTAAAATGGGCTAAATAATTAAAAGACTAAGATTATCAGACTACATAAAATGCAAAATTCAATCCTATCTTACCTACAAGGACACTCTAAATATAAGAGCCCAGAAAGAGCAAAAGTAAAAGTAAAAGATGGAAAAAGAGACATCATATTAACATTAGCTAAAAGAAAGCTATTATAACTGTATTAGTAGCAGATAAAACAGACTTTAAGGCACTAGCATTATTAGAGATAATGAGGGACATTTCATGATGACAATGAATCAAACTACTAGGAAGAGACCACAATTCTAAATCTCCATAAAACTAGTAACAAAACAAAATATTTATAGTAAAAATCACAAAACTAAAAGGAGAAACAGACAAATCTACAGTCATAGAGGTAGACTTTAACACATCTCTCTCAATACTAAAGAGTATACAAAAAACAAGTAAGAATACAGAGGACATGAACAAGGCAATTAAAACACTAGACTTAACTGACATATATAAATCATGCAATCAACAATGACAGAATACACATTATTTCCAAATGCATATTAAATATATGTTGAAATTAACCATATACTGCATCATAAAGCATCAACAAATTTCAAAAGCTCAAAATCTTTCAGAATATGTTCTCTGCACAACAGAATTCATTCGAAATCAACAAATAAAAGGTTACTAAAAAACCTTCAACTGTTTGAAAGTTAGACAATAGATTTTTTTTTTTTTTTTTTTTTTTGAGACGGAGTCTCACTCTGTCGCCCAGGCTGGAGTGCAGTGGTGTGCCGTCTCTTCTCACTGCAAGCTCCGCCTCCGGGGTTTACACCATTCTCCTGCCTCAGCCTCCGGAGTAGCTGGGACTACAGGCGCCTGCCATCACGCCTGGCTAATTTTTTGTATTTTTAGTAGAGACGGGGTTTCACCGTGTTAGCCAGGATAGTCTCGATCTCCTGACCTCGTGATCCACCCGCCTTGGCCTCCCAAAGTGCTGGGATTACAGGTGTGAGCCACCATGCCCAGCCGACAATAGATTTCTAAATAAACTGAGGAGTCGACAGAGAAAATTAACAAAGTCATAACACGAGTCGACAGAGAAACTCAACAAAGTCAAACGCTGGTTCTTTGAAAAAGTTGGTAAAATTAATAAATGCCTAGCAAAATAAATGGGGAAAATGGAGATTATAATATCAGGAAAGAAAAATGGGAAATCACTACAGATCTTTCAAACAATAAAAAGACATTAAGAGGATATTAAGAAAAGTCTCAGCAAAAAAAAAAAAATTGACAATATAAATGAAATAGGTATGTTCCTTGAAAAACCTACTGAAACTCATACCAGAAGACACAGGAAATCTGAATTGTTCAGTATTTATTAAATGAATTGATTCCGTTACTAAATGATTTCCCACAAAGACAATTTGCGGTTCACATTGCTTCCCTGGTGAATTCTTCCAAATGTTTAAGAAAGAAATATCAGTCTTACACAAACTTTTCTACAGAACAGGGGAGGAAACACACACACACACACACACACACACACACACACAAACACATACTTCCTAACTTGTTTTATAAAGCCAAATAATCTTAATGACAAAACCAGACAAGAACATTATAAGAAAGGACAATCACATACCAATCTCTACCATGAATAAATATGCAAAAATCCCAAAATATTAACACCCTAAATGCAAAAATATGTCAAAAAGACAATACATCACAACTGATTGTTTTTTTATTCCAGAGTGGTTTAACATGCAAAAGTCAACATAATTCACTATGAAAACAACAAAAGAGAGAAAAATCACGTTTACTTGAAAGACAAAAAAAATTTAATAATACAATAATAAGCATCCATTTATGATACAAATTCTCAGCAATTTAGAAATAGAAGGGAAGTAAGAAAAACCTACTGCAAACATCCTATTTAATAATAAAATTTTGAACGTTTTCTGCAACACTGCATTAGTGGTCCTAGCCAGTGCAATAAGACAAAAAAGAAAAGCCATAAAGATTGAAAAAGGAAGAAATAAAATAAGCAAATGACATGACTGTGCACTCAGAAAAAAAAATTTTAACTGCAAAAAATCTGTTAGAATTAATAAAGAAATCTGGTAAGACTGTTAGATATAAGACCAGTATTTTAAAAGGTCAAATTTATATCGATATACCAACAACCACAAGAAAATGAAAAGTTTTCAATGATTTCAGTTACCATAATATAAAAATATATCAAATATGCAAGAATAAATATAATAAGAGATTTAAAATATCTATATATGCAAAACTACATTATTGAGAAAAATTCTAGAATATTTAAACATATAAAGAAATAGGTTATGTTCATGGGTTGCACGTAAGTCTTAATATCATAAAGATGGCAGTTTTCCCAAAACTGATTTATAGTACCAGTGCAAGCTTAATAAAAATCCCAGAAAAATATTTTAACAGAAATTGACAAGTTGATTCTAAAATTTAGTTTGTAAAAGGCCAAGAATAGCCAAGATAATCTTGAAAAATAAAGCTAGATAACTTATATTACCACACATCAAGACATAATATAAAGTTATAGGTATTAATTTAGTACGATATTAGCTCAGGAGAGACAAATAGACTATTGGAAAAAAGAAAGTCTAGAAACAGACCACAAATTATCCAGTCACCTAAGATAAATGTGATGCATGAGTGTAGTGGAGAAAGTATGGTTGATATAGTTTGGCTGTGTCCCCACCCAAATCTCATCTTGAATTGTAGTTCCCATAATCCCCACATATCATGGGAGGGAGCAGATGGGAGGTAATTGAATCATGGGGATGTTTTCCCCCATGCTAGTCTCATGATAGTGAGTAAGAGCTCACGAGAGCTGATGGTTTTATAAGGGGCTTCCCCCTTTGCTTGGTTCTCATGTTCTCATTTTTCTCTCTCCTGCTACTTTGTGAAGAAGGACATGTTTACTTCCCCTTCCACCATGCTTGTAAGTTTCCTGAGGCCTCCCCAGCCCTGCAGACCAATGAATCAATTAAACCTCTTTCCTTCATAAATTACCCAGTCTCAGGTATGTCCTCATAGCAGCATGAGAACAGACTAATACAATGGTCTTTCCAATAAATGGTACTAGGTCAGTTGATTTTCCTTAAGGGAAATATTTAATCTTGACTCCTGTACTTCACATCATAAATAAACTACAGATGGATTGTTGATATAAATGTAAAAATAAAACAATAAAGCTTTAGAAGAAAAAAGAATATTTTCATTACTTTGGAGTAGGCTGGCTTCTTAAAGACATTACAGTAAGCATTAACCATGAAGGAAATTTATGGGCCATTTTACAATCAGAAATTTCTATTCATCAAAACATACTACAGAGTGAAAAATAAAGCCACCAAATGGAAGACATTTGCATTACATGTATCCAACAAAAGATTCCCATACAGAATGTACAAAGAACTGCACATCTAAAAAATAAACAAAAAGCAGAGATTCCAGTTGCTAAGTGACTTGAATTGCCATTTTATGAAAGAAAATCTCCAAATGGCCTACAGACTTACGGAAAGGTGCTTGACTTCATTAGACATCAAGAAAATGCAAACTAAAACCACCATGTGACACCCCAACAAACATACAAGATTGGCTAAAATGAAAGAAAATGTCAAGCATTAGTTAGGATACAGAACAACTGGAACTCCTACACACAATGCTCACTAGTATGAGTGTTGGTACAACTCCTTTTGAAAACTTTCACATCTACTGAAGCCGAATATCTGCATGCCATATGACTCATCAATTCCACTCCAAGCTAATATCAGACAGAAAAATGTACATATCATCACAAAAATAAATATGAATGAATATTTAGTTAGTAGTAGTCAAAAAGTAGAAACAACTCAGATGACAGTCAGTGACAGAATGGAAATATTGTGGTATATTCATCCAATGGAATAAGATACAGCAATGAAAATGAACAAACTACAGCAACATGCAACAAAATGGATGAACCTCACAAACATAATGTTGAACAAAATAAGCTAAACACAAAAAGGTCTATACTGTATTATTCCATTCATTTAAAATATTTAAAAAGGCAAAACAAACCATGGTGTTAAAAACCAGGGTATTAACTACAAGAAAGCAAGGAGGAGGTCTTGATATTTGAACAGTTCTTTCTCTTGACTTGGGTGCTAGTTACAACATTGTGCCCTACCACAAAAATGAATTGAGCTGCATAGTTATGCTACGTATACTTTTCTATATGGAAAGTATAAGTCAATAAAAATTTATATTAAAAGAATAGTGGCATAGTAGAGCTAGAAATAAGGCTAAAAGCATTATCACAATGTCCTACATATCTCGTAGTGGTTGACTACAGACTTGACACTAAGATTTCTAACAGCTGCATGAGAAAAAGATAAAGTTGTCAGTTATACATTAGTGTCCAGTAGATACAAATAAATCAATTGCTTGAAAATACAAATTGTTGGCACTAAACACAGAGATTTCTCACAGAAGTCTTCACAAAAAAGAAGCCCCTTTTGACATAATAATGTCCTTGACAATAACTTCAAGACCCTCTGTGACTGCTTCTTATGATGACCTTCAGTGCAGACTGATGGAATCTTTCCAATATACAACTGGGTAAAAGCAGTTGGGGATAGAAGAGTGTGGAGCAATGCAGTCTACATACCCAATTCTCTCTGATGCTTTGGACTGACCCAGGGATATATTTTATAAACCTGTAAGAGGGAATAGAAGAGTGGGTAAGCTTCAAACATTCCCCCTTGAATATCATCTCTCAACTGAAATTTTGACAATTATCAAGCAGCAACAGCAAAGTTAAAATAAATACCCCCTAGTAAAGGACTGGGGGATAGCTAGTCTCTGTTGTCAATTAATATGAATGCAGTTTGGTTGGGGGAAGAGAAAATGACCTTTTGTGAATGCTGAAATGTCTACTCTAGGACTAGTCGTTGAAAAGAGGATCATCCTACCTCCATTGTGCGCATCTACTAATTAGAGCATGAAGAATCCTTAGAAATATTTAATAATACTGAACCTGCTTCCAAGGTATATAACTAATGTTGAATCCAAACTCAAACTCAAAGTTCTACTACATATAAAATGACTGAAAGAGTTTTAGCCAAAAATATTATAATCACTATAGCCAAGGTATGAACAGTCTTATGAGGCATACTCAAGCATATTCAACCAAATAGTAACAAAAAAAGTAAATCACTGGATTTAAAGTTCTTTTTTTTTTCTTTTTTTTTTGAGACAAGAGTCTCACTCTTTCTCCCAGGCTGGGGTGAAGTAGTGAATCTCGGCTCACTGCAACCTCCGCCCCAGGGTTCAAGTGATTCTCCTGTCTCAGCCTCCCGCTGGAATTACAGGTGCCCCCCCCCCCACCCCCCACCACCACGCCTGACTGTTTGTATTTTTAGTAGAGACGGGGTTTCACCATGTTGGCCAGGCTGGTCTCGAACTCTTGACCTCAGGTGATCCATCTGCCTCAGCCTCCCAAAGTCCTAGGATTACAGGCATGAGCCACCACACCCAGCCAACAAATTTAAAGTTCTTTAAAGGATTATGCTGCAATCTGTATATGGTTGGTCTGCCCCCATCAAATGACATGTTGAAATTTGATCTCCAATGTGATGGTGTTGGGAGGTGGGGCCTAGCAGGAAGTATTTGGCTAATCATGGGGGTGGATACTTCATGAATGGCTTGGTACTTATCACCCACTAGTGAGCCAGTTCTCACTCTAGCAAGGCTGGATTGGTCTCAAGGAAGAATGGATCAGTTCCTAGAAGAGTAGGTTGATAAAAAACCAGAATGCCCTTTGGGTTTGGTCTCTCTTCACACCTGCCTGCTTCCCCTTTGACTCTCTCCACCATGTTTTGATGAAGCACAAAAGCCCTCACCAGAAGCTCAGCAGATGCCGGGGCCACGGTTTTTGTACAACCTACAGAACTGTTAGCTAAATAAACCTCTTTTCTTTATAAACTACCCCACCTCAGGTATTCCTTTATAGCAACACAAAACAGGATAAGACAGATTATACTGTCATTAATATTCAATAACATTTCACATATCTGCATTTCTCCCACCAAGTTCAAGCATAGACTAGACAGTTTTTCTGATTAGTTAGCACCAGAATGTTAAGAAGTTCAGAGTTCTAAAGCTCACTAAACTTAACTCAGGCCTCTGGGTGCTTTTTAAAAAAAAAAAAATTAAACACCTGATAAGTTTAGTTATATACTTTCCCAGGTCACAACCAATTATAATCTGCAAGTCAGAATGGGAAGTACAAAGAAAAGAACTGCTAGAAATAAAAAGAGTTGTAAGAAATAACAAATAACTTGGTAGGAAGAAACAGAAGGATGCAAAAGCTCAAAGAACTCCAAACACATAATCTTCTGGGGCCACTTAGGCAAAAGCTCTACATGCTGCAAGAGTCTCCAAGGGCAACCACTGCACAGTGGGCATATTCATAGAGGCAGATTCAGAGTAAAGTCATCAATAAGGATTACATTATTCTATGTATAGTCTTTGTCAAGAAGGTAGGGAAACGTGTAATCATTTTTTAAAGCAATCCATCCAAAATATTGTAAATATTATGTGTTGTGGATTAAACTTGTGCGCTTAAATAAATTTCAGTTATACAAATCCTGCGCTCCAAAATAAATGCTGAGTAAAGCACTACAGTTGATGAAGGATTTTAAGCTTAACTCAAATATTAGTTATGTATAAAAATATAAGCTTCTCATTCCTTGACTATAATGGAAAAACTGAGGTGCTAATGTAATTTGAAATAATATTCAAGTTCTGAAATAATATCATGACCTATAGAAAACTAAGACTATTCATATGTTATTAAAAACACTTGAATTGTGAAATCATCACTTGTCTCCACCGTGCTTATCACACTACTCCTTATATTCCTCTTATTAGTCCCTCCTAGCTACAAAACAGGAAAATTATGACTTTGCATGGGAAGTTTCTCTTAAAAGTATTGACTTAAAAGTTTGACAAGTGTTATTCTGAAATGTTTATATGTGCATATTTTAATAATTTGCTCATAAGACATTGTTAAGCCATAGAAAGAGAATTTAGATTTTAATACTCTGCCACCAAAACCAAAATCAAAGGACTATATAAGGTTTTCTGTAAACAATGAAGCTTATAAAGGACAGAAAAAATGACTAATATCTGATTATCTATGGATAAAAATGCAAGTTAAAAAAATCTGAAGGGCGTTAACAACTTAATTTTCTGAAGTTCTAAACGATAGAGAATATACAGGGAAAATACTAGTTGGTTCTCAGAGCCAAAGTCAAGTGTATGAATATTTTGAAGTTGAGTGTGTAAGATTTAGAGTCCTCAAATGACCTACTATCTCTTCACCAAAATCTGTGAAAAATATGAAAAAACAGTACTTATCTGATGAAATAAGGACTATGCAAATGTTTTTAGTCTACAACATGTAAATGTTCACTAAAAAAAACTAATGAATTACATACACATATACAATCACACATGAGCCAAAATTCAATTCAGCTCTTTATCTGATTATCTTACCTATCTAAACAACCCACTTTCAAAGCTCAAAACTATATATTGCACTTGAATAAAGCTTTAAACATAAAGAATTGTGTACTCACATAAGAAGACTTTAAACCTAAACTGAGAATACACCTAAATTGTTTAAGGGGTAAGGAAAAACATTACTGTGAAAGTATAAGTGGATACACTAGAATGATATATGCTGGTGACTTTTTTTTTTTTTGGTTTTGTAAATGGTTCAATTTTTTCCAGAACATCAGCAGAGAATTACAAAATCAAAGGCACAGTCCAAAATATTTTTGTTTATAGAGAAAAATGCACATACGTAATTTAGCTATTATAAACATTTATCTTATCATTATTACCCTGCTCATATTTGGAAAAATTCAAAACTAAATATAAACATTTTTTGCTTGGAGGCTATTATTAATTTTAAGCCTATAATTGAAGGTTAACAATGATCTAGTCCAATATTATTTTACAGACAACAAAAATGAACAAATGGAAAGGTTGCATGGCTTGTAAAAGTGCACACTAGTTAATGATAAAGTCAACCTAGAACCCAGTTATATTTCCACCAGATCAACTTCTTTCCAACTTAAATATCAAATCATCTCTGATTTGAGATATAAAAATAAAGAGGCCGGGCGCAAGGTGGCTCACGCCTGTAATCCCAGCACTTTGGGAGGCCGAGGCGGGCGGATCACGAGGTCAGCAGATCGAGACCATCCTGGCTAATACGGTGAAACCCCGTCTCTACTAAACAAAACACAAAAAATTAGCCGGGCGTGGTGGCGGGCGCCTGTAGTCCCAGCTACTCAGGAGGCTGAGGCAGGAGAATGGCGTGAACCCGGGAGGCGGAGCTTGCAGTGAGCCGAGATCGCGCCACTGCTCTCCAGCCTGGGAGACAGAGCGAGACTCCGTCTCAAAAATAAATAAATAAAAAATTAAAAAAAGAATTCATAAGAGACATGAGTGAAATACCCAGGGTTTGGTGACTCTGGAAAGTAAACTAGCAATAAATGCATAAATACTGCTTTATTCATTTTTCTTAATTTGTCATGGGGATACTTAAAATGTACAAATGGCCTATAGTGACTTTCTTCCAAAAAGTAAAAGTCATTCAGACAAAGCCTATCATATAGACCCCATTACTACACATGGATAATTTACATGCACCATCAACTATTTGGATCTGAAAAACAGCCTTAATATTATCCATATAAATAACAATACAAATGAAATCCAGAGCAGAAACCACAACTTATTTTAGCTATTACACTAAATCTATGTGTAAACTGTAACTAAAGTTAGCACATATTCATTTCACAGTAGAAAATAATAATTATGTAAATTACAATCATGAAAATACAACTAATACAGAGAGCTGTCCCCAGAAATCAGTGTGACGTTCCTAAAATTTCTTAAAGATAATTTAAAATTTAGTTTAAATAAGGTTGAAATACAAATCCTTTTCTTTTCAACTGTCTCTGATAAGGGCACACATGATCATTACATGACCTAAAGCCAGCCAAGACAAAAATGGAGAAGCAAAAGGAACAGTACCCATCACTGAAATTATTCATTCAATAAATATTTTTTGAGTGTTAGATGCTATACTGAGAATTTGAAAGAAAAAAAAAAAAAGACTAAGCAAAAAGCAGATAGAATCACTGCCCTTGTGAAGTTTAACAAAAGCTGATAGAGCTTTTATTAAATATGTTACCCCCCAAGAAGCACTGTATATGTTGAAACTACCCTTATTTTTAAAGCAATTTTTGATGTCTGTATATTATGGTTAAGAAAATCAGCCTTGCTTATGGTTCCATTTACCTACTTTAAAGATATTTACCTATATTTTAAAACACCTAACAGCCTATTTGTCTCAAAAAGTTACATCCTAGACAGCACAAACGGCAAATTAAACGGATACCATATTACTTTACCATTTACAACTCAAAGTGCTGTAATAATTACATTATACAAATACAGTCAATGAAGAAGGTCTTCTTGCTAGATAAACATTTGTAATAATTCAAGTATTTTTTAAAAAGTCACTGTGAGTTATTGCATTTAAGTCCTGGAATAATTATCTGTATTCCACTTAAGATGCTAGACACATTTTTACACAAGAAAAATAACGGAAAAATACAGAGAAATTGCAAAGGAAGAAAAAGTTTCATCATCATCTGATTCTTAAGAGGAATATCACTAGGTGATGATTAGGAGTCTGATGGAGGAAAGTAATTTTAAAACAACTTAATGGCTCAGAGAAGTTCCTAAGAAATTGATGCTTAGGGTTTCAATTTTTCTTAATACTCAGATATAAGACTTAAAGAAAATATATCAGCATGTTAAAAACCAGTTATCTCTGAATACTAGGCTTACTATAAATAGTTCTTTTTTTTTTTTTTTGACGAAGTCTCCCCCTGTGGTCCCGGCTGGAGTGCAATGACGTTATCTCAGCTCATTGCAACCGCCTCCCAGGTTCAATCGATTCTCCTGCCTCACCCTCCCGAGTAGCTGGGATTACAGGAGCCCGCCACCACGCCCGGCTAATTTTTTGTATTTTTAGTAGAGACGAGGTTTCACTATGTTGGCCAGGCTGGTCTCGAACTCCGACCTCGTGATCCGCCCGCCTCAGCCTCCCAAAGTGCTAGGATTACAGGTGTAAGCCACCGCGCCCGGCCCAATAGTAATTATTCTTTTATTGTTTCTATATTTTTCTGAAGGAAATACTACATTTACAGTTATAAAGCATTAAGGAAAGGCAGGCCTTAAAATAAATCATTGACATAAAGACTAGGTATCCTCCACAGTCCCACTCTTAATAACAACTGCAGAACCAGCACTAGCACTGTAGCTGAAAAGTGGATAGTACACACACGCTCACATACACAATGGCTGGCATGTAGTAGGCACTCAACTAACGTGTGAAATGAAATGGCTGAAGATAATGTAAACAAGCCAAAACAACGAAATGCACTCTGATTTGGGGGCAACACAGTAAACAATCACAGTAACTACCACTTTATCCAAAGCTCGCTGACAGCTGAATGGGCATTAAATGAAAGAGCTCTTCTTCCTTGCCCTCCTCTTTCACTCTGACGCTAGATTGCACATTCAAAACAAATCCTCCTCCAGCCCCGCCCCAAGCTCTACCCTCCAGTACCTTCAGCACTGGAACTGACACAAAGTCCAGGGCTGCGACGGTGTCCAGACCCGGGCCCCTGTCCAAGGAGCTGCGCGCTCACAGATTTGGCTGGCGCAACATAGGCGGGGGCACTGGGCGGCAGCCCATCATGCCCGGGACCCCCAAGGACCCGCGCGGAAGCCCAGAGCTCTCAGCCCCGGCGGGAGGCTGGTTCCCCTCGCCCTGCGCTGCCGTACCTGCACACGGTGATCAGGTTCCTCCTCTCCACCGCAGCATTGCGGGCGCTCAGGCTTTTCTTGCCGCCTCCGCCGCCACCGCCGCGGATCCCGCTCAGGCCCCCCAGGCTCCGGGAGGCCATGGCGGGCTTACCCCCGTGCCCCTTTTGTCTCGTGCCACCCCGCACGCCCCCCACACCTGCTTAAGGGGGTTCTCGCTCGGTCCGCAACCGTGGGGGCGCGGGAAGGATGTAGGAAAGGAGCCTGGAGGGAGGAAGGGTGTGGAAGACAGCAGGGACTCGCACCCGGGGACTGACGGCTCGCCCTTGGCACCCGAGCTCCACACACACACACACACACACACACACACACACACACACACGCACGCACGCACCACCTCCGCCCTCGGCGCGCCGCCGACTGCCGGGCTGCGCCTGCGGGTCGGCGTCAGGCGCTCTCCTCCTTCCCGAGGGACCTCAGCAGACGGCGCGCGCGCGAGCCCGTCGGCCCCTCACGCCCAACCACCCACACTCCGCAGCCACTCGTGCCCCAGCCCGGGAGGCAGCGGCAAGGCCCCCGGCCTCGCGTGCGCAGCCCCACCCTCTCTGCGCCTATCAAATCAACGCTACCCCCGCCGGATCCAATCGCGGCACCAGAGGGGCGGGGCCGGCCGCGCGGACCTTTTAAAGCAGCGGGCTCAAGCCCCGCCCCGACGCGTGGGCTGCTGTCAAGGACGCTGGGCTCGCTTTCGCAGCCCGCTAGCTGCCGCCAGTAGCCACACAGGCTAGCCGCGGGGATTGTGGGATGCGGGGCCCCACAGCGCCAGGGGCCTATTGCCCCCCCCTTGCCTGTAGCCAAGCTTTAACGGCTGATACCTATTTGCGTGGCTGCCGTAGCTTCAGTGCCTGCCTAGAAAGCAGCGCGCCGGCTCCCACACCCGACCTTGGGCCTAAGTACTAAGAAGGGAGGAGGGTTCCTTTTGTCCTGACGCCCTCCCAGGGGCTAATAAACAGCAACACAATGGCCCGAGGGGGGAATTGCTCGTAGAATCTCCTTCTTGGCGCGTCTAGTGCCGACATTTCTTGCCCCTCCACACCATGTCGCTCCCACCTCAGCCTCCAGCGCAGCCCGCACCCGGGACTGACGGCCCGCCTAAGGAGGAGCGTGGTGCCAGTGTAGAGTCTTTTCGCGTCCTGGGCCGTGACTCCGGAATCGGGAGTCCGGGTCTGGGAATAGTAAGCCCAGGAACGACGCGGCCTCGGTCCAGCTGGGCTGCTCCCTCAGAGTCCTGGAACGCCCTCCTCGACGCGCGTGTTCGGAAGCGCCCCCTTCCTAGAGCTTCTCACTACCCACCGTTTTACCTGCAGGAGGGTCCCAGCTTGGGTCAGGTCCTCTGACACTCACCTACGCCTGCTGTTCACCTCCCTTTGCACCAATATGCCCAGATTTTAGAGTGCAATCCTAAATGACTTACTCTCCCTATGGGACCTAGCACAGTGCTGTACATAGAACAGGTTCTCAATAAATGTTTCTCGAATTTAATTTGAAGTCACATTTGACATAATTTTTACTGAAATTTCACGGCTTCAGTGGCTCCAAAATCCATGTATCTTTCACCTCTACTTTTGAAGTTTCTGTCAAAGAATGTCAGAGAATATATAGTTTTGTGTGGCTATCTCTATTTTTCTTATATATTATCCCTGTTAATGCAGGGCATACTGTTACTCTTGAATGTTTTAACAACGCACGTTTGTGTAATAAAGTTGTAAATTCCTAATTTCTGAGGTTTTTAAAGTTTAAAAATCTCTATTTAAAATAGTCAAAAAATCATCCTTTTCAGCTACCATGTCTAATTTTATTCTACTATTCTGTTTAGTAGAATAAAAATATATGGGCTGGGCGCGGTGGCTGACGCCTGTAATCCCAGCACTTTGGGAGGCTGAGGCGGGCGGATCACGAGGTCAGGAGTTCGAGACCAGCCTGACCAACATAGTGAAACCCCATCTCTACTAAAAATACAAAAATTAGCCGGGTGTGGTGGCACGCGCCTGTAGTGGCAGCTACTCGGTAGGCTGAGGCAGGAGAATCGTTTGAACCCGGGAGGCGGAGGTTGCAGTGAGCGGAGACTGCGCCAGTGCACTCCAGCCTGGGCGACAGAGTGAGACTCCATCTCTCTCTCTCTCTCTCTCTCTGACATATATATGACATATATATGACATATATATGACACATATATATGACACATATATATGACACATATATATGACACATATATATGACACATATATATGACACATATATATGACACATATATATGACACATATATATGACACATATATATGACACATATATATGACACATATATATGACACATATATATGACACATATATATGACACATATATATGACACATATATATGACACATATATGACACATATATATGACACATATATATGACACATATATGACACATATATATGACACATATATATGACACATATATGACACATATATATGACACATATATGACACATACATATGACACATATATATGACACATACATATGACACATATATATGACACATACATATGACACATATATATGACACATATATATGACACATATACGACACATATATATGACACATATACGACACATATATATGACACATATATGACACATATATATGACACATATATGACACATATATATGACATATATATGACACATATATATGACATATATATGACACATATATATGACATATATATGACACATATATATGACAATATATATGACACATATATATGACAATATATATGACACATATATATGACAATATATATGACACATATATATGACAATATATATATATATATATATATGTCTCAGCCTGGGCGACAGAATGAGACTCCATCTCTCTCTCTCTCTCTCTCTCTATATATATATATATGTACATATACATATATATGTACATATATATATATATATTCCTCTCTCTCTAGCCATACGTATATAGTGTCAGTCTTAACTAATGTGCTATGATAAATATTCATTCATACATTAAAATTTTAAGAAAACAATTTAGTCAGACTTTACACTTTATCTTTCAAGTTAATAAAAGCAGGCGAAATTTCTATATATGGATGTTTGTGACTAGTCAGTGCACTTCTTCCAGAACATTACGTGTCTGCTCTCCTGTGACACGGAGGCTTATAAAGAGTCTTCTTTTCCTAGGAGCTACAACTTAACTTGTCTCTTCTTGCTAGTTCAACAGTTTGGATTCAGAAGTAGCCATCAGGAAACAGATGCACTGGTTATGCAGGCAGTCTCAGCAAAATATTTGCGCTGGCAATGACAAATACTACTCAAATTGATGTTGTTATTATTTAACCACAGATAAAACTGCAGAAAGAAAAGAGTGGAAAACCATCAGTTATCAATAAAATTTCTAAAAACCGATGCTTGGGTGTGTCGTGAGTGAGGGAGAGAACACACATGCCTCTGAAGCATTTATCAAGAAGATAAAAGTGAGTGGTCATGACAGAACGAGAAAAGTGAGATGTTAATATCCTCAAAATTGGCTTCCTAGCCTCCAGTACATGTTCATGTTATTTTCACTGTGAACTATGACTGAAAACTTAGTAAAACTCCATCTTAAATGATGAGGTAATCGTGTTATTTTTCTTTTTTCTTTTTTTTTTTTGAGACGCAGTCTCGCTCAGTCGCACAGGCTGGAGTGCAGTGGCAGGATCTCCGCTTACTGCAAGTTCCGCCACCCGGGTTCATGCCGTTCTCCTGCCTCAGCCTCCCGAGTCGCTGGGACTACAGGCGCCTGCCACCACGCCCGGCTAATTTTTTTGTATTTTTAGTAGAGACGGGGTTTCACCGTGTTAGCCAGGATGGTCTCGATCTCCTGACCTCGTGATCCGCCCTTCTCGGCCTCCCAGAGTGCTGGGATTACAGGCGTGAGCCGCCGCGCCCAGCCATAACGTTATTTTTCAAATGTTACTCTTAGAAGGATTTAGTTGACATGTTAGTACTTGCTTACCAAGACTTTGCCATAAACAAGCTGTGTTTTTCTTTTTTGTTTTGTTTTGTTTTGCATGTATGGAGTGTCATTACACTGCCACATGGGGGCCTTATTTGATAAGGCTTTTCTCATTTATCCTAAGTAGTATGTCCTGGGTCTCTTTCTCCCTCTAGATTACTAATCTGGATATTGTCAATCAATTTATTCAGTACACAGCATAATACTATTATAGAACTCCATGAGTCCACGTTACTTTTTGGACTTCTTTTGGCACCTATTTCAATTATTTTTATTTATTTAAGCATTGCACAAAGGTATTCAAAGATTTTACAAAGAGTCACAGTAAAAATTATGAAAACAGTAGATACCTAAATTAACTTATAGGAATTCTGTAGAACCGAATGGGCAGAACATACCCATTCACCGTTTTCCCAACTTCCTTCTTCTCATCGAAACAGACAAAATTACAAGTGCAACATATAAAATGTCCTCAAATATAAAATACTATAAAATGTATATATAAAGTGCTATAAACCAGAGAGATCACCAAACCATAGTTTATTCTAGTCTCAGAGAAGTGGACTTTTTAAATATGCCATAAACCCAGCATCTGTACAGAAGAAACTAGAAACATTGAAGATGTAAGTTTTTTTAATTTTTATTTACTTTGACGTCAGATGGGTAATATGCTGACATCATAACAAGGATTGGGTGAGGCACGTCTCACATGTGTGTGAAAGCTCAATCATCACGCTTATGAACCACAAATGGATAGATATAAATTTTTTCAAATCCACAAATCAAGTATCATCATAAGCAAAGTCAAAAGTAAATGAGACCGAGAAAACATTTTTAAAACTCAAATCATAGACAAAGAGCTAATTTCCTCTATAAAATACTCCTGCAGATCAATAAGCACTGTTTCAGTGGCACAATGAATGTGAAAGCCAAATTCCAGTGAGTAAAAAGTCAGTGGGAAGTGAGTATCACACAATCTTAAAAAGTTATGAAAGGGGAGAAAAAAAGAGTGGTGGTATGGGGGAATATTGAACAGAGGGACATTGGTGTTTTATTGCTATCATGTCATTATTTTTCACAGAAGTGACTTGAGCATATTTTGAAGCTGATGCAATGAATCTACTGGGAGGGAAAGGTTAGTAATGCAAGAGAGAAAAAAAAACTATCAGAAGCGAGCATGAAGAAAATGTATGAAAATTGCTTTAAAAAAAAAAAGTCCATGTGAGAGTAAGTCAAGAGAAGCAGAACACTCAGGGGAGGTATGGGTTTCCGTTGAGAAGAGGAAGCAGAAAGACCATTCCAAAGAATTGGAGAATGCAAGGTAGTATTGGTCATAGAGCAAAAGTTCCAGAGAGCATCATGGAAGGGAGTGCAGACAGGGTCATGGGCCAGGAAGCGCGAAGCGTGCTCATTAATAGGGTATGGATAGTGAGGTGGGTATTACAGGCTATGACAGACACATAATGAAGAGTACCTTGATGGGTCTCACAAACTGTTCTCTGTAAAAAGTCATTGGGTAAAGGCTGATTGAAACAAAGTGGATTTGGTCCTACAGTTTCTTTGAGGAGGGCAAATACTGACCCTCAGTTCGAACAGAGGATATTTTTCTTTTTAAAATTTTTTATCATGTAGAAGGGCATTAACAAACCAGAAATTATAGACTCCAGACATTGTATGCATTGCATCAATTAATCATCAGAACCGTTCTCTAAAGTAAGTATTATTATATTCTCCCATTTACAAACAAGGAAACAGAGACTTGGAGACATTAAGTAACATATAGAAAGTCACATAGTAAATGGCAGAGCCAGGATTGAAATCTAAATCATTAGCTAGAAAATCTATTATTTTTTTAAATTTATTATTTTAAAGACAGGGTCTTACTCTGTGGCCCAAGATGGAGTACAGTGGGTAATCATGGCTTACCTCGGCCTTGAACTCCTGGGCTCAAGGGATACTCAAAGGGCTTAGCCTCCTAAGTAGCTGGGACTACAGGCATGCACCACCACAGCTGCCTAGTGTTTTTTATTTTTAAAAATGTTTTACTGAGACAAGGTCTCACTATGTTGCCCAGATTGCTCATGAACTCCCGGTCTCATGCGATCCTCCCTTCTTGGCCCCTCAAGTGTGGGGATTACAGGCATGCACCACCATGACTGGCCCATAATTTATTGTTTTTTCTAACATGTTTCACTGCCTTTTTGAGAAAGTAACTCCAGATAAGGCTTAAACACAAAACTCCCATACTGTACACATAGTTCTTAAGAATCAAGAAGGATTTTACACACTGACCAACTGTATCACTCATGCAATATAGTCTCTAGATAATTCTGGAGCTCAGGCTTTCATTTTTTATTCAGAAAGTGTATTCTGAATCAAAAGATATGCATAATTTTAACCACAAATTAAATTTTTTCCTAGAGATGTTTTACCAATTTACATCCTACTAACAGTACATAAGTTTTCTTGCACTCTTGCTCACTCTAGGGACTATTGTTCTTTTTATTTTTCTGCATAACAAGCAAAGAGCAATATCTTTTTGATATTTTAACTTGTTTTTCATTAGTAATGAAAATGCACATTTATTTTGTGCACTTATTGTTCATTTATGTTTTGCCCGTTCATGCCCTTTACCCATATTTTCCAAAAAATATTAGTCTTCATTATAGTGGCTCATGATCATATTTGTTTATTGTATGTATGGCAAATACTTTTCCCAGTTCGTTGTTTGCCTTACCTATGGTGTGAGTTATTTATAAAGAGATGTTTAAAAAATTTTATATAAATGAAATTCATCAATATTTTCCTTTATTGGTTTTTCCTTTGATCATTTTAGAATAGCCTTTGCCACCTCCAAGATTATATACTTTATGGTTACTTTTTTATATCAAAAATAGTTAACCTATTTGCACTATGTGAAGGTATGAAATTAGAATATAACTTCATTGTTCCAATGATTAACCACTGTCCCAATTCTATTTATTAAATGATCCATCTTTGCCTTACTGCCAATATTAAATTTATCATGAAATAATTAAATAACAAGGTTGCATTTTAATAAAGAATTGTGCCCATGATAATAAATCCATAGAAACAGCTAACATTAATGTTTCACAACAACTTTTTTTGGATAGGTCTCCAGACATACAAAAGAGAAATATATACTTAATTTTACCTAAATCAGTTTATTCTACACACAGTCAATATATTTTCTCACCAATCTGTTACTATGTGTTTGTATTTGTTTATGATTTGTTTCCCATAGAAATTTTGAATTTTTATGCAATCAAATTTTCGTTTTTTTAATAATTTCTGGTTTTCACACAATGTTTAGAAAAGCTTCTGTATGGTAAGATAATAAAAGTGTTTACCAATTTTTCTGTAGTGTTTTTGCATTCACATATTTGATATTTATAGAGTTATCTTTGTGTAAGAGTCAATTGGTGAAAGAGCCTAATTTTTCCAAACAGTCAATACTTATCTAATGCTAGTATTAAATAATGCATACTTTCCCACTGATATAAAATGCTACCTTTGTCAGGTACTAAATGTATACAATTTTAGTCTACTGCTGGATTTTCTATTTTCATCCATTGATTTATCATTTATGAGCTAGTGGTACCAAAATCTAATAAGTGGCAAAGCCTGGTAATTATTTTTAACATCTCGTAAGGTTAGTGTTCCCTAATTATTCTCTTTCAGAATGTTCTTAGGTAATTCTGGAATGTCTGTTCTTCCATAGAAACGTAAGAATCATTTTGACACATCTCTCTCACCAAGAAAAGCCTATAGGGATTCTAATTAGAATTGCATGATATTTATAGATTAGGTAAAATTAACATCTTCCCAATATTTGCAATGATCTAAGATGACAGTATGTCTATTTCTTCACATTTTTTTTTTATTTCACTTGGTGGCGTTTCATAGTTTTATCATGGAGTTTCGGACTGGTATTATGAGTAAGGTTTTTTGTATGAGTAGGGTTCTTTTTTTCCACTACACTTCCTAAATAGTTGCAATATTTACACAGGAAAGCTATACATTTTTGCACAATCACCTTTTAACATGTATTTATTGTTTTTAATAAATTTTCAGATTCTGTTGGTTTGATTTTTATGCAGTCAAATTTTTGTATTTTTACTTTTATAATTTTTGGTTTTCACATGAATCTTAGAAAAGATTTTCTGTGCTTAGATTATAAAAGTGTTTACCCATTTTTTGTTATGATTCTGTTGGTTTTCTAGGCACTAGCTCAGAAAAATAAAGATTAATGGTGAAGTTAGTGGAACAACACGTAAATCTCTTTAACATTAAGAATTTGCTTTCAAAACTAAAATACTGGAATACCAATTCCACGAAGTAATTTTCTGTAAATTATCTCATGCAACGGATTCAAATGCAAACTCTTTAGAAAAAAAAACCCTATTGAAGATATTTTGGCAAAGACTAAACATCAATTAGAAACGAGTTACTCGCCTGTAATCCCAGCACTTTGTGAGGCCGAGGTGGGTGGATCATGAGGTCAGGAGTTCGAGACGAGCCTGACCACCATGGTGAAACACTGTCTCTACTAAAAATACAAAAATTAGCTGGGTGTGGTGGCACGCGCCTGTAGTCCCAGCTACTCAGGAGGGTGAGCAGAAGAATTACTTGAACCCGCAAGGTGGAGGTTGCAGTGAGTCAAGATCGTGCCATTGCAGTCCAGCCTGGGCAACAGAGCGAGACTCTGTCTAAAAAAAAGAAAGAAAGAAAAAAAAAGAAAAGAAAAAAATGAGTTACTCACAAACGTCTAAACAGGATTTTCAGCTATGATGTCAAGAAAAATCTTGTTTTGATTTTTCCTATGGATAGACTAAATGAGACTTTTTCTCATAAAATAATTTTTAAGAAAATGTTCCCTCAATAATCCACAAGCAATCTCTCAGTAATCCACAAGTAATCTTTAAGAGGATTAAAAGACATTTTAGTACCAATTTACTATATCCACGGCTGAATTCTGCTTATGCAAGCTTAAAATATAACAAAATGACAATGATATTAATGATCGCCCCTTGAACTTTCAGGATCAAAATATGTCAAAATGACAATGGCATTAATGATTCCTCTTGAAATCTCAAGGTCAGTTTATTCATATATATATATATATACACACACACACACACACATGTGTTTGTGTGTGTGTATATATAAAAATAAGTTTACAGTCAGTACGATTTCTGCTTAGTGTTCAAAAATTGGACAGCAGCAATCTTCAACTCATAAATTTGGCCAAGTATATTTACCTGTGTCAACCAATAAACCTTAGTAAGAAAAAGAAGAATGTTGTGGTTATCATTCAGATATTTGTCAAGTTTACTTTTTTTTTTTTTTTTTGAGATGGAGTTTTGCTCTATCACCCAGGCTGGAGTACAGTGGCACAGTCTTGGCTCACTGCAACCTCTGCCTCCTGGGTTCAAGTGATTCTCCTGCCTCAGCCTCCTGAGTATCTGGGAATACAAGCATGTGCCACCATACCCAGCTAATTTTTGTATTTTTTGTAGAGACGGGGTTTCGGCATGTTGGCCAGGCTGGTCTCAAACTCATGACCTCAAGTGATCTGCCCACTTGGCCTCCCAAAGTGCTGAGATTATGGGTGTGAGCCACTGTGCCCAGCCAAGCTTACATTTCATTCATTGTGGTTTATATAATTGACCTTGATAGTGAGGTTAATATCTTCTCAAATATTTACTGACAAATTTGGAAGCCAATGTTTAGCAGTTATATTAGTTTTCTATTGTTGTATAACAAATTACACAAACAGATGGTTTAAAAACACCCATTTATTAGCTGAAAGTTCTGTAGGTCAGAAGTCTGGCACAGCACAGGTGGGTTTTCTGCTCAGGGGTTCCTAAGGCTGAAATCAAGGTTTCAGTTAAGCTATGTCCTCAACTGGAGACTCTGGGAAAGAATCTACTTCCAAGCTCATTCAAGTTGTTGGTAGAATCCCATTGTAGTTGTAAGAGTGGGGTCCCTGATTTCCGGCTGGCTTTTGACTGAGTGTTGCTGTGAAGCCCATTGCATATGGCTTCCTCCATCTATCAAATTTCATGATTCAAATTTCTGACTTCTTCTACCCCTAACTAAAGAATTCTCTCTGCTTTTAAAGGGCTCATGTGATTAGATTTCGCCTACCTAGATAATCTCCCTATCTCAAGGTCAACTGATTAGTAACCTTAATTACATCTGCAAGATCCCTTTGCTTTGCAAAGTAATGTAATCACAGGAGTAATACCAGGGAGCCAAGATCATAAGGACCATTTTAGAAATCTGTGAACCACAGTGGTGAAAGAAGGAACACATTCTCTACAGAGATGTATATTAAGTGTCTGTTAACCTGGCATTGTCCTCCCCAACCAAAACTATTTCTATTGATAGGCTTATAGGAATTTGGATACAGCTAAATTCAAAGCGACTATTAACCTCCTGGTAGTCTCCAAGACTATCAGCCTACTGGTAGTCCCCAAACATTTGTTGTATTTATTTATTCAATAAATATTTTTTAGTTGCCCATTAAGTGACAGACACTATGCTATACTGTGGGTGTACAATGGTGAGCAAAAATTCCTGCTCTCATAGAGCTTAAGATTTAGATGGGAGAGAGAGGTATCAAAACCTAAAGAAATCAACATATACATATTTATACCGTATGATAAATGTTCCAAAGGAGAGAAGAACATATAAAAGAAGTTGGGGCAGGACTCCAGGAGGCACTATTCCTACAGAAGATAATGTCAACAGGGCCCCCGGAATTAGACAACACTCTTGCCCTGCAAGGGTGCCAGGGAAGGAAGTAATGACTGAATTCTGGTATGAAGGAAGAATAGGAGTGAACTAGGTAAAGCAGCTCGAGGTAGGAGAAACTATCCAGGCAGAGGAAGAGTATGTACAAATGGCCTGTGGCTGGAGGAAATACACTGTGCCTGAAGTTAATGTGGCTGGAGCTCAGAGAGTAAGGAGGATCAGGAGAGTATGGCTAGACAGAAGGCCAGAGAGGAAGATAGGATTTGTTTTATTCACAGGCTCACTGATCACATTAAACATTTTCATCTTTATCCTAAGAATGTTGAGAAGCCCTTGGAACAGTTTGAAACCAAAGGCTTACAAGATCAGATCTGAGTTTTGAAATGCTCATTCTGGCTGCCATGTGGAGAATGGTGGAGAACATTAAGTACAAACTGCTGCCCCAAAATGATTTCACAGCACTCCGAATGCAAGATTTCTTTAGCTTCCCTAAAGACTTAGGACTACAGTCTTTGTGATTGGAAGCTCTAGTTCTTGTTTTAAAACTTTAGTAAGTTCCTGATAATAGGTGGCAGTAATGTGCAATCTCATGTACTGAGCCTAGTTGTACTCTACAGAAGAAGACAAACAATAGTCACTCTGCTCCTTTTTCAACAATGTGCTGTGTTTTGCCTCAGATGGAAGGACACATGTTGTCATTGTTAAATGTTTTCTAAACTTTAACACAGTGAGGTTCTCAGAAAACATCTCCTTTATAATATATGGGGATCCTTGACATACACATTACCAAAGTTTTGGTTTTCTGGGACTTTGTTATCTTCTATCAAAAAGAAAAGTACATTGGAGAACAGATAAGAATTTTTTGGACAACTGACAATGTTTAAAGGGAATATCTGAGTATAAGATTGCCTGGTTATGCATGAGTTCTCTCTTCCCTTAAGTGAAATTTAGCAAACAGATCCATGTCTTCAACCACTTAAAGGTATCCAAGTCAACAGATCTAGATAATCTCATTTTACTAATTTTGTGATTCCCAGATTGCAGGCTCAGGAAGAACTCTAATTTCATGGGCTACATAGAATATATAACCCAAATCAACTTGTATCCCACTCCCATGAGCTCATCTCTCCTCCCCTTGTCACACAAACCCATTCCCTACTAGGCCTCACCAATAATTTGTGCAAGTTTGCTTGCTATCTCTTAGATGAAGAGACAGACCAATTCTAGCTGCCCTTATCATAAGGGAAGAGACCAATTGGTTTCTTATCACAAGAGAAGAGACCAGTTGGTCTCTAGACCAATTCTAGCTGCCCTTATCACAAGGGAAGAGCATATACAAATGGCTCTTAGTTTTGCTCTTCATGAATTATATGACCTTGGGAAAACTGTATAATTTCTATGTACTTTGGTTTTCTGATCTCTAAGGTTGGGATAATAATGATAGTACATATGGTAATTTCACAGGAGCTGGGACAAGATAAATGAGTAACTAATGAAACTCTGATATTTACCTGGTGGGGAGATACCATGATCATAAACGAAACTCTTAGGGCATGATGTGTAGCAAGTGCTGCAGAATTGTTAGCTGTTTTCATTAGTTGTCCTTCCTTAAGATATTCCAGTGAATATCAAGTCTGATGGCTTGGCAAGAGCTCCATGATTTTGACCTTAACATTGTTTCTGCTTAAAACAAAACAAAACCAAGAAATTGTGTCAGCTCCAGATTGCACAAAACATCCATCACTTCTTATCACATATTTCCCCTTCTTCATAGTCTTATAACAAACGCTTTATAGTCTTTCAGGTTTGACGAAAAAGGTTTCTTGGATTATCTTCATGCTTTTCTTATATATATTCACTCTGCACAAGATGTCCAATGCCTCACAATGCAGAAATCACAACAAACTAACAATAGCCCAGAATACTGATATTTAAGATATCTTATTATTCCGAGTAATAGACAATACCATTTTGGATATAAATAACACTCAGGTACATAATTTTAGAAGGTAGATGCTTATTATTTTATACCACTACTATAAAATATAACTTTATGTTAAAATCTACCTTAAAGTATCTTATACTAGGCAATAGCTATAAAGGTATAAATTGTACCTTCTATTTACTATGAACTTAAGTATTAGCAAAGCCACGCATGAGCTTGTTATGCTCTCCTCAATGCTTGCTTTCTCAGTCTTCTGAATATCTCACCATCCCCATCAGGAAAAAATATTTGGTAGATTTTTACTCTCTGTAGTTTGTGTTCAAAAATCATTTTTTTCCAATAGGAAATCAGATTAAATGCACCTTTCAAACTTAAACCCTAGAGATTCTGATATGGCTTCTTACCCTTCTTTTCCTTTCTCCTTTGATCACTTCTTATTAATAGGCTATTTTAACAACTGTATCACAAAGTCTACAAATTATATTATCATGGCATGTAAGGCCTTTTGCAATCTTGTTGGTGCTACCCTCAAAATATATCCAGAGTCTAAGCACTTTTCATTATTCCCACTATTACACTCCCCTGGGCTCACCTGGATCATTGAAACAGCTTCCCAGCTTCCAGCTGTTTCTGCCCTTGGCTCCCTACAGTCTGATTTCAATTTAGTAGCCAGAGTGATGAGATTATGTTACTTCTCTGCTCCAAACTCTTCAATGGTTTTCTCTCTCACTCAGAGTGACGAAGTCCTCAAGATAGCCTACACATCCTGCAGGATCTAACCATATGTCACTTCTCTGACATCATCTCCTACTGCTCTTTTCCTTTGGTTACACCACTCCAGCCACACTGGCCTCTTGTTAACTCTCAGTGGACTAAACACACAGCACAACCTTATTTATCCATTAATTGAACCAATATTGAGGAAGCCCTTACTCTGTGTAGAGGCTTTTGGGGATTATAGAAGTGGACAAGATAGACAGAGCTCCTTCCTTTGTGAATGTATAGTGTAGCAGGAGAGATAAGAAACAATGCAATAAGAATAAAAGGCAAGGCTGGGCGCAGGGGCTCACACCTGTAATTCCATCACTTTGGGAGGCCGAGGCGGGCGGGTCAGGAGATCAAGACCATCCTGGCTAACACGGTGAAACCCCGTCTCTACTAAAAATACAAAAAATTTAGCAGGACATGGTGGCGGGCACCTCTAGTCCAGCTACTCGGGAGGCTGAGGCAGGAGAATGGCATGAACCTGGGAGGCAGAGCTTGCAGTGAGCTGAGATGGTGCCACCGCACTCCAGCCTGGGCAGCAGAGCATGACTCCGTTCCCCGGCCCCCCCCACCAAAAAAAAACACCTACACACACAAAAACAAACAAACAAACAAAAAGAATAAAAGGCAAAACCATTAGTAATTATTATAAGTACCTAAACATGCTATTAAACTGGATATTAGCAGGAGAGACAGGAAACAATGTAACAAGAATAAAAGCCAAAGCCAATAGTAATTCTAAATATCTAAACAGGCTGTCTATTAACACATCTCAGTTTGCTTTATTTTAGATCGCAACACTCTTGTTACACAAGATTCATCTTGAAAAATATCTTTATTTAATCTGATGCTTTGTGATGCAAGGTCATGAACTGAAATGCCATAAACTAGAAGATGCTGTAATCTATCACACATAAATATTAGTCAAGCTTGTTTCTTTCCCTTTCTTTCTCTTTCTTTCATTCTTTCTCTCTTTCTTTCTCTTTCTCTCTTTCTTCTTTCTTTCTTTCCCTTTTTCTTTCTTTTCTGAGATAGAGTCTTGCTCTGTTGCTCAGGCTGTAGTGCAGTGGCATGATTGCTCACTGTAACCTCAAATTTCTGGGCTTAAGTAATCTTCCTGCCTCAGCATCCCTAGTAGCTAAGAATACAGGTGCATGCCACCACATCTGGCTAATTTGTTAATTTTTCTTTAGAGACAGGGTCTCACTATGTTGCCCAGGCTTGTCTTGAACTCCTGGCCTCAAGCAATCTTCCTGCTTTGGCCTCTCAAAGCACTGGGATTACAGGCATGAGATTCTTCACTCATCATATTATAATTATTTTGGTTTATAGTAGAGAACTAACTTCATAAAGTAAAAAAAAAAATACAATATTTAGAATTGTTTGTCCAAAAATAGAGGATATTAAATATTATCATAAAACTAAAGGATAATTTAACACAAACCAAGTTTGTCTAGATTAATAAATAAGAATAAACTTTCCAAAACTGGTAATTTCTTTTTATAGATCCATTTTTGACTAAAGGAACATAGGTTTTATGGCTAAGGGAAGTATTTTAAAAATAATCTCAACTTTTATTTTAGATACAGAAGGTATATGTGCAGGTTTGTTACATGGGTATATTGTATAATGCTGAGGTTAAGGTTATGAAAGATCCCATGGCCCAGGTAGTGAGCATAGTTCCCAATAGATCAACTCTTGCTCCCCTCCCTCTCTCCCTCTTTAGTAGACTCCAGTATCTATTGTTGACATCTTTATGTCTGAGTACCCAATATTTGGCTCCCATTTGTAAATGAAAGCATGTGGTACTTAGTTTTCTGTTTCTGTGTTAATTCACTTAGGATAATGGCCTTGTTGCAGCAAAAGACATGATTTTGTTCTTTTTTTATGGCTCTGTAGTATTCCATGGCGTATATGTGTCACATTTTCTTTATTCAGTCCACCATTGATGGGCATCTTGGTTAATCCTATGTCTTTGTTATTGTGAATAGCACTGCAATGAACATATAAGCACATATGTCTTTTTGGTAGAACAATTTATTCTCCTTTGGGTATATACCTGGTAATGGGATTGCTGGGCCAATTGGTAGTTCTCTTTTAAATTTTGAGAAATCGAAAGTCCTTGCCAGAGCAATCAGGCAAAAAAAAAAAAAAAAAAAAAAAAGAAATAAAGGACATTCAAATTGGAAAAGAGGAAGCCAAATTATCTCATCAATGATATGGTCTTATGCCTAGAAAACCCTAAAGCCTCCTCCAAAATACTTCTACATCTGATAAATAAGTTTAGTAAAGTCTCAGGTTACAAAATCAATGTACATAAATCAGTAGCACTGCTATGCACCAATGACCAAGCTGAGAATCAAATCAAGAACCCAATCCCCCTTACAATAGATTAAAAAAAAAAAAAAAACCCACCAAAACCTAGGAATATTCTTAACCAAGGAGGTGAAAGATCTCTAAAGGAACAACTATGAAACACTGCAGAAAGAAATCATAGATGGCACAAACAAATGGAAATACATCCCATGCTCACAGATTAGAAAAATCAATACTGTGAAAATGACCACACTGCCCAAAGTAATCTAAAAGTTCAGTGCAATTCCTATCAAAATACCAACATCACTTTTCACAGAATTAGAAAAAACGATCCTAAAATTTATATGAAACCAAAAAGGAACACAAATAGCCAAAGCAATCCTAAGTAAAAAGAACAAATCTGGAAGCATCACATTACACAACTTCAAATTATACTATACGATTATAGTAACCAAAACAGCATGGTACTGGTATAAAAGTAGATATATAGACCAATAGAACAGAATAGAGACCCCAGAAATAAAGCCAAATACTTACAGCCAACTGATCTTTGACAAAGCACACAAAATCATGATTGGGGAAAGGACACCCTATTCAATAAACGGTGCTGAGAAAATTGGATAGTCACATGTACAAGAATGAAACTGGATCCCTATCTCTCATCACATATAAAAATTAACTCAACATGGATTAAATACTTATGTCTAGGACCTGAAACCATAAAAATTCTAGAAGGAAACCTAGGAAAAACTCTTCTGGACATTGGCCTGGGCAAAGAATTTATGACTAAGACCCTAAAAGCAAATTCAACTAAAATGAAAATAAATAAATTGTACCTAATTAAACTAAAAAGCTTCTGCACAGCAAAAGAAACAATCATCAGAATAAACAGACAACCTACAGAATGGGAGAAAATATTTGTAAATTATGCATTCAACAAAGGACTAATATCCAGAATCTATAAGGAGCTCAGACAAATCAGTCCTGCCACTCACTTTGCAACTCATTGAATCTTAGTTCCCTCTTCTTTAAAATGAAGATAATCATAATACTACCTGTGCCAAGATTCAGTGGGAAAACCTGACTTTAGAGCTCAATAAAAATTAGTTGTTTTATTTTCTCTCCTCAAGTGTATTAGAAGCTCCTTTAAGGTCAATAATTAAATTTATCTCTATATCTAGCATGCTCAGTGCAATTGCTCTATAAATATTTGTTAAATTTAGTTGTTATAAAATTCTTAGAACTGGAGTGCAGAAGCCATCTGCAGCATGCTATGAAAATCTAAAATAAAATAATGTAATAAAAAACAATTCCTTTGAGAAACTTCATACCCTGATTATTTTATTTGCAACAGATGCATAAAACTAAAACTCAAATCTGCATAAATCAAGTAGTTCAGACTTGCTGTAAGCATTTAAAAATATATTTTTAAAATACATGCTATTTTCTAGCAAAGACATGTAATCAACCTAGGTGCTTATTAACAGTGGATTGGATAAAGAAAATGTGGTACATCTACACCACAGAATTCTACACAGCCCTAAAAAAAAAAAAATCATGTCCTTTGCAGCAATGTGGATGCAGCTGGAGGCCATTATCCTAAGCAAATTAATGCAGAAAAAGAAAATCAAATATCACATGTTCTTATTTGTAAGTTGGAGCTAAACCCTGGGTCTTCATAGACATAAAGATGAAAACAGTAGAGACTTGGAACCTAAAAAGGAGGGAAGAAGGGAGGAGAGCAAGGGCTGAAAAACATCCTAATGGGCACTCTGGGTGATAGGATCAATAGAAGCCCAAACCTCAGCATTATGCAATATAAAGCCTAGAAAAGCTCCAAGGAGCTGACAGAAGACTGGTGTGGATGGATCATGAAGGAATAAGGGGAGAAGTGGCCTGAGGCTATAGAGGTAAGCAGAAGACAGATTATTGAGGACCTTTGGAATAGAACCTGAGAACAGTGGGAAGCCCTTGCAGGCCTTACCCATGGATATGATATGGTCCTATGTAGATTTTACAAATACTTTGGCTGTTACGAAGGGAGTTAATTAGAAGAAGACCAGAGTAAATGTGGAGAAACTAGTTAAAGTAGCCCAAGTAAGAGAAAATGGATGGTGGATATAGTGGTTTGGACAGTTATTGTCATTGTTGAGAAGACGCTGGATTCAAATTGGATATAGAGAGTAAGGGAAAAGGGGATGCTAGCAATAACCTCTCCCCTTCCTCCAGGTTTCTGACGCAAAGTAAATAGTGGTGTTATGTACTTAGATATGCATGCTGAATGAGAAGCCAATGTGGGGGCAGGATTAAGAGTTCTGTCTGGGCAGTTCTCAAATATGAGATGCATAGAGCCACCCAAGTGGCAATTTCTGCAACATAATTTTTATAATTATTTGTCTTAAACAGTAACAAAGATGATGGAGAATAAGGAAAACTTGACTATAGTAGAGTAAGAAGGTTTGCCTTTGCCACATGATGCAATGGTAACAAGGATAAACCCAGCCTGCATGACTACTTTGGTTGTAATGCATAGCATTCGAGTAAAACAAAAAGAACAGGCCAGATGCAGTGGCTGACTCCTGTAATCTCAGCATTTTGGGAGCCTGAAGCAGGATGAACACTTGAAAGAGGATTGCCAGAATGTCAAGACCAGCCTGGGCTACACAGGCAGACTCTATCTCTGAAAAAAAAAAAAAAAAAAAAAAAAAAGGCCAGGTGTGGTAGTATGTAGTCCCAGCTACTCTGGAGGCCAAGATGGGAGGATCACTTAAGCTCAACAGTTGGAGGCTGCAGAGAGCAATGACTGCACCATTGCAATACAGCCCGGGTGACCAAGCAAGACCCTGGCTGAGAAAAAAAAAAAAAAAAAAAAAGAAAGAAAAAGCTAGTTCGTACATAAGAACACTGCAGTATGACTTGTTGCCAATTAGAAGAAACACAACTACAAGGTCAGGGCATATTATTCAAACAGTAGAGACAATACAGTCAAATATTTGGCAGAATTACAAAATATCTCATTGGAAAAGACACGCAAGGGAAATCAACAAAAAGATATGAATCAGAATTCATCTGTGTCTCAAGAAAAGGTCATGCGATAAATTAAGTTCTGCTAGTGTTTCTACACTACCGTTAGCCTCATTACCTTATTTTTTAAGTGTTAATATAGTTTTAGGTATTTTACATACATTTTTATTATTAATTACAACCAAAGTGCAACTTGTAATAGCAATTCCTTCACATTTTTTTTTTCAAATCTTGCACCTTAAAATCCACCTCGGGCCTCAGTTGGCCAGCTTTGGTATCTGATACTTGGACTACAGATACCACTAAGGCAAGTAGATAAAATGTACTCTAGGACCTACAGCCCTTCTGCTAGATCCTGAAGAATGATCATTAAAACAAGCTGGTCTAGCTGGTCAAGAGCAAAAATAAAATCAAGATGACAGAAAATTGATGCAAAAGTGAAGTAAAATAGCTAGAGAATATGATTGCGCCTGTCCCCTTAGCATGGATTCCCATGCTAGCCAATCTAAAATCCTCACTGTTAGAATCCTCCTGTCAATATGATAGAATGAACAGCAAGCTCAGTGTCAGAAAACCTGTGTTGTTAACTTGGCCCTCTTTCTAGCTGAATGTGTGTTTTTGGTCAAGTTCTTTGGCATTTCAGAGACTCAGAGTAGTGAAGGAAGTGGATAAGATGACCTCTACATTCTCTTGCAAGCTCAAACATCTATGAATCCAGAGAGAAAAACTAGAGCATGAAATTAAGGTTATTTTAAAGAAATAACCTTAAAATTATTAGTATTCGAGGATCTCCAATATATTCATGGCACCACTCAAAACTTTCCTTCTGCTCTATCCCGTCTTGGCTCAAAGTTATCTCCTTAATGAGGTCTGCCCTGACTATCCTACTTAAAATTGTAAACTTTGCCCACCTGGTACTTCCACTCTCTTTCCCCTGCTCTGTTTTTCACCGTAATACTTTACTCTTTTTAACATACAAAATCACTTATTTACTGTGTTGTTATCTATCTGCCTACTCTTACCATCAAATATAAGTTCTACCTAGGCAGGGATTTTTGTATGTTTTGCTCATGGATATATACGAAGCACTTAGAGTAATATGTGACATATACAGGGTACTTGATTAATACTGTTGAGTGAATGAATGAGTTTCCAATACAAATTTAAAATAAAATATTTCCTAACTTAAAATTGTAAAGTCAGATCTAACCAACTGTTCATTGGTCTGCTAGCAGTGTTTCTTGTATATGGAAATATATTTTAAATAGATATGTCCTGTGAAATAATACTAAGTGTTCTAAAGAAATAAGTGAGTGAACGTTACCTCATTGAACTAACTTGACCTTGCTCCTGGGAGAGAGTTCATTTGAGATTAAACAAGTTCAAAGTCTATGAATCATAAAACGATAAAAAAAACTAAAAGGGAAATGGTGTTTTTATAAGCTCTGCAATTCAAAAGCCATTTCGGGTAATATTGTTATTTTTATGTCAGGAATTCCTCAGTGCTGATATCTTAGGGCAAAGGGTTTGGTTATAAATTAAGAGAATGAGGAAATAGGTACATAGTAGGATTGTTCCAACCAAATATGTGTTGAATGTCAAAGGAATTTCCCTGAGGAATAATCTTCAGAATAATTTGCTAAGCACAGGAGAAAATTTGGCTTATTACTTTATAGCCAGATTTCATTTTTAATTGAAACTTCTTTCAAGCAAATCACTTACTAGTCTATTAACAATAACAACATAAACACAAGTAAACATTCGGAATATAGACATCCAGGTACTAAGCTGATTGCTTTACACTCACTGTCTTATTTTACAAGTAAGGAGTTTTAGTTGCAGCAAAAGAAATAAATTTTCCAATGTCAAATGACCAGAACTTAAACCCAATCTGTTTGGTGCTAAAGCCAATGTTCTTTACTGCAATGTTGGGTTATCTTGTTTCTAAAACTTAAATTTATCAGTAAAAGGCAAAATTTGCTATTATTGAGGACATTAAAATCATATTTTTGTAGACTCTGAGGACAAATCCAACAAAAAAGTTCCAACTATTTCTTGGCAGGCATCATTGAAATTGGTATATAGCTTCCTTGGGTATTGACTTTGAAAAGGAAGTTGGTCACTTTAGATATATAAGTTCAGTCTGTTTGTAAAAACAAAATGAAAACAAAACAGTTGCCTTATATGCTAAAATTATCCTAATCGTTTTCACCTTTAACAACATATACACACAGAACTTGAGGAACTTTACACGGCTCATCTTCATATTGTCAGCATCTAGCAAAGTACTTGCCACATAGTGATCAATAAAAGTTTTAGCCAGCCTGGGCAACATAGTGACAGCCTATCTCTACAAAAAAAAATTAGCCAGGCAAGGTGGCGCACACCTTTGGTCCCAGCTACTTGAGAGGAGGATGTGGGGAGATCCTTTGAATGCAGGAGGTTGAGGCTGCAGTGAGCTGTGATTGCGCCACTGTGCTTCAACCTTGGTGACAGAGCAAGACCCTGTCTCACACACACACAAATTAAGTAAAGAAAAAAAAAAGAATCAAAGAAAAAAATAATTCCCCAGCTTAAGTCCATCTTTATTTGTTTGGATAAGCTATAAAGTGTCAAATAATGCTGTTAATGGACATTTCTCTAGCTCTCCCAAAGGAGGAATTGAGCACATAGTATGTGCTGTATTTTATATACAGAATAAAAATAGAGACAAGATTTCTACCCTCACAGAACTTAAATTCTTCAGGAGAATGACACTGAAGTCCTTAATTGGACTTCTCTCTTCTGTATTATCTTCCTCAAGTGGAGGTATATGGTGCTTAGTTATGAAAAATACCTCCAGGGCTTTGATCTTCTCAATAACTCTTTGAGGCTGATATGAAAACAGTAATTAGAAAAAAACCATGTATCCAACTTATATAGACAGTTGATGACCAAAGCTAGAATCCAGTTATTTCAGCCTCCCATGTATTTTCTTATTACTTAAGGAGAATCTCTATCTCTACCTCTTTCTCTCTTCTTCCTCTCTCACTTTTCTTAGAAACATGGGTAAGATTTTCAGAAATATGAGAAACTTATTAATAAATGAAAAATACTGGGAATTCTCAATGTTTCTTGTTTTAGCCAGTTAATTTTGGCCTTCATTCAATGTGAGTGTCCCTTAATAAGGAGCAAACTCCACTGAGAGATAGATACTAATAACCAGGATTCTGAAAATGCATTCTCATCCCCATCTCCAAACTTTTATAAAAAATATTATAAAATAATACACTTTTAATATAGGAAATTTCTCAAATACAGAAAAAATTAAAGTAAACTCAGACCTAACTTTCATCACTAAAAGATAATCACTCTTGACACTTTGATATCTTTATCTCTAATATTACACCAATTAATTTGCTTGATATAGTGAATATTATGCTATTATAATTTTCCCCTGCCTTTTGTCCTTGCATATTAGCATAGGTATTTTCTGAGGTTATCACAAACTCTGTAAGCACGTTTTATATTACTACTTTTTTAAAGAGGATGTATAATAATTAATTCATCCATATATATGTGGTTAAGTATTCAGGTCACTGCTCATTTTTCACTGTTATAAAATAAAGCAGCAATGAATACCTTTGGCTGATATTTTTTTCTGTACTTGGAATTATTTCTTTAAGATAGATTTCCTAAAATTGAATTACTGAGTCAAACAGACTTAAGTTTTCCTTATGTATGTTTCCTTATTCATTTGAATAATTTTCAACTCCTACTTGTTTATTTAACTCTTGTGAGCATGTGATAGTCTCATTTTTCAAAATATCTTTGCTGTTGTAATTTGCATTTCTTTGTAGTTAGCATGAATATTTCAGTATGTTTTCTTCTGTGTACCAGTATACTACATACTTTTTTATATGAATTGCCTATTTGCATCTTTTGCTCGGTTCTATTAGACCTTTGAATTTTTTCTTATCCATTTATATAAGCTCTTTATATATTAAGAATATTAACCTATTGTGATATTTGCAATAAATAGCTATATGGTTTGTTGTTGGTTTTAAATGTGAATTTATTCAATTTTCTTCATAATTTTGTTGTTTTTATAGATTTCTTTAAAAGTAATAAAATTATTGCCATATTATTATTTATTTTCAATGTCCATTACTAGCCCTTTCCAGTCATCACTTTTACTCTCATGTTCTTAATTTTTATTCATATCTTGGCTCCATTGACCATCTTTATTAGGATATTTGGGAAATAATACAATTTATACTAAACACACATCAAATCTTACCTTATTTTCTTCTTACAAAAACCCTAGGAATATGCTGTTTTTGTCTTTATTTGAATGACACAGAAATCAAGGTTTTTGAGCAGTGGAGTATTTCTTCAAATGACACAGAAATCAAGTCTTTTGAGCAGTGGAGTATTTCTTCAAAGCCACACAGCTAGTAAGTCATGAAGCTGGAATTCCAAGAGTTGCCACTTCATTTTCTTCTTTCCCTTTATCTTACTCAGTTGTCTTCTCTCCTCTTAATTTTGTCATTCATTTAAAAACATTTCTTGTGCTATTATGGTAGATTTATTTTAATAGGGGGCAGTGACTTACTCAGAGAGATGATTCTCTAATGGAGTTTTAAAGATCTTAGAAGTTGATAGAGGAGGCTGGGCGTGGTGGCTCATGCCTATAATCCCAGCACTTTGGGAGGCTGAGGTGGGTGGATCACTTGAGGCCAGAAGTTCAAGATCAGCCTAGTCAATGTGGTGAAACCCCATTTCTACTAAAATTACAAAAATTAGCCTGGTGTGCTGGTGCACTCCCATAATCCCAGCTACTCAGGAGGCTGAGGCATGAGAATTGCTGGAACCCAGGAGGCGGAGGTTGCAGTGCGCCTGGATTATTAACACTACACTCCAGCCTGGGAGACAGAGTAATACTCCATCTCAATAAAAAGAAGTTGATAAGGGAGATAGTTCATGGCAACGGATCTTTGAAGGCACGCTAATGATAACTTAGGCATTTAGCCTACTAGTGTAATTTCCATAAATCTGCCTCTGATGTCATACTCTCAGCACCTAATATTTTCTACAAACATTTATTGAAACTTTATTTTGTATAAGTCTCTGTCCAGTTTGAATATTTAAAAAATTCATAATCATATGAAACATTAATAATAAATACAAAATGAGAGATGCCGATACTGAAAAGTAGGATTGCGGAGTGGTAGAAAATATTTCTGGCTGTAGTAGATGGGGAAGTGTTCAAAGAGGAGTATAATTCAGGTTTCCATTTGCCATCGACTTATCACATGGCTAACTCACTAAGCGACTTAATTAAAATTAAATTAATTTATCATCATCTGATCACCATTTCACACAACTCATGTCTGTTGCTGTATTGGCTAAATGATGGCAAGACAAACGACCTCTGAAAATGATCCTATTGACCTTCGGAATCTGGATTTTTTTTTCAATGCAGGTGTCCATAGAAGCAATCTGATGTAATCCAACATGAGTTCAAGCACAGTCATTTAATATCCCCTATCAAGTACAGTCATTTAATATCCCCTATCATCACATGTCCTTCATACATAAAAATCATTACATGTGAAAGGGTGGAGAGTGTGTGGATCCCTTATTATTGTGTTATTGTAACACAATAACAATATTGTGTTATTATTGTTAACACAAGTGAGTCATATGTCTTGCTCTTTGGACTGAGTGGAAACTTGTATTCTTTCTCTGCCTCAGGTCAATTAACTTCATTGAGGTGAGTTGCATTCCTTCTTTAAGCATGTTGAACCTTCAATCTGGACTCAGATGGGCTAAATAGAGGAGCTAGGAAAAATACAGAAAATAAATTATTAGAGAGATCAGAGAAAGATACATAAGATTTACAATAAAAGAATTATGAGAAAAACATCCAAAAGAATTAAAAACCATAGGAGAAGGAAAAATAGGTGAACAGCTTTTTAATTTCTATAAATGTGTTGTTAATACTCATAATAAAGGACTCAGAGCTGGGATATGAGAATAATAGGTCAAACGTATATGGATACATAGATGTGACTACATACATGAGTTGCAAAGAATGCTAAGGAGGGCAAAAAGAGATTGAGAAGAGGGCATTATTACTAATATATAGCAATGTTGAATGTTTAGGGTGTTTCAGGCACTGTACAAATCTTTTAAATACACAAATCACTTAATCTTGCCATAACATTAGAAGATACTATCTACTCTTTACCAAAAAGGTAACTGTGGGATAGCAGAGTTAAGTAACCCGTTCAAACCTATGCATAATAATCAGCAGAGATGGTCCTTATCTAAGTTTTTCTGCCTTTGAAGTCCAAATAGTTTAATGCAGCCAGGTACTAAAGAAGAAAACTTTTGTAAATTAGTTTAGTTTAATGATTTACATGTGGAAAAGCACAGAGTGAAAAGCACATATCATCTGAGAAGCCCAGTGAGTTTGGCTGAAATGGAGTGAACATGTACATGTTGAGGGTGAGGAAGATGATTAGAGAGAAGTGATGTGTTGTGGTTCTTAAAAGCTAAGAGGAAACTGTTAGATATGATATAGTCTGTGGCAGGGAGCCATTGCAGGTTTTCCAAGATGGACTCATAAGGAGAAAACACTTCGTGGGACTGGAAAAGGCAGTGAAGTGGTGTGTCCTATGATAATGTACTACAGTGTAGGATAGTGGTTAAGAGTACAGTTATGAGAGAGGGACTACTGGTTAGCACCTTACCTGCTGTGTGACTGGGCAAATAATGCAAACCTCAGTGTCTTTTATTGTAATATGGGAGTAACAAAAATAGTAACTACTTCATAGGATTCTTGTAAAGATTAAATGACTTAATTTCTTTGAAGTGCTTGGCAGTTCCTGATAAATGACCAGTAGTTAATAAATGTTAGTTGTTATTATTATCATTATATATTATTACTCCCATAGATACATATAGAACAGACTGCAGCAGAGAGGCAAATCTTTAATGTTGTCAGAGTATAGACAAGTTGGTGAAATGGCTACATGAGAGCGGAGGACAAGAAGGTGCAGATTGTGGCAGTCACTTCAAATGGAAATATCACCGCTTGAATGAAGGTATATGAGTGTCAACTTGCAAGGGGACCAGGTAGGTTTCATCAGAAATTAAGGAAGCTTAAGGAGAACAGCCAAGTTCAGCTTGACAGAAGTGGTGGTGGCACAAATGCAAGACTGGTGTCTTTCAAGAAACCAAGGACTGTTGAAAGTAGCAAGAGCTAGTTTGTTTTAGGTCCATCATGTTTTATATTCACACTTTCATGTCAGTGGAGCAAAGAAATGGAATACAATATAATAGAATGGTAGAATCTTATTTTTAAAATCTGTGTTATTCTGATCTTTAACTTACTTATATCTTTGATAGAGATCTTTACCTGATGCTCAAGATTGTAGAAATAGTATAATCAACATAACAGTATAGCACTGTATTTATATCCTGCACTGTTTAGGGAGGGTTTAAGGCCATTCAAAAGGATACATAAAATACAACAAGATTACATAAATGAAAGGTGAGATAAAGCAACAAAGCAAAACAAAAGTGAAAACAGAGATCATAGGCACAAATAAGATTAAAAACGCATGTAATGAAGATGAAAGCTTTTACATTTACCCCAGATGGACCACAGGGTTGTTGTTAAGCCTTTAAACAGTGAACAATGCTGTACACTTGCATATGCAATTAGAACATGTGGAAAAAATAGTGGCCTGTTAGAAGCCTAATTAACAATTTGTGAAAAAAAAAAAAAAAAAAAAAAAAAGAGGCCGAGCTGTAGCTCACGCCTGTAATCCCTGCACTTTGGGAGGCCGAGGCGGGCGGATCACGAGGTCAGGAGATCAAGACCATCCTGGCTAACACAGTGAAACCCAGTCTCTACGAAAAATACAAAAAATTAGCCGGGCGTGGTGGCGGGAGCCTGTAGTCCCAGCTACCTGGGAGGCTGAGGCAGGAGAATGGTGTGAACCCGGGAGGCGGAGCTTGCAGTGAGCCGAGATCCTGCCACTGCACTCCAGCCTGGGCGACAAAGCAAGACTCCGTCTCAAAAAAGAAAAAAGAAAGAAAAACAAAAGAAAACTTCATTGTATTGTAAGGCCAAGAACAAAATATATCAAGATAAGGAAAATTTGTAGTCAAGAATAGAAAAAAATTATGGCTTTGAAGTATGAGTTATTTAAAGAAAGTGGAAACATCCTCAGACTATGCAGTAAAAAACAAAGTGATTTTCTTCTTCTAAACTTATGCAATAAACTGATAGGTAATATGTGAAAGTCATAGAATGTAGACTAGAGGATACAACAAACCTATTTCCTCTATGTTCATAAGAAGTAAGAAAAGCTCTGATGTGAGTTAGCATTGCTTTACAATTTTGAATTGTGCAGATTGCACGTACTTTTCCTCAGTTTGAAGTAAATAGTGGACAGGAAAAAATATTAAATGTTGGCAGTAAATATGGAAGGAAATTACAACTAATGTAATATGCTAAAACATGCTATGTTTATTTTACTAATTTGAATTAAAATGTAAGAATTTAAAATGCCCTGGAAAAACACGGGCATTGATCTGACGTCTGAAGTTTTAAAATATTACACACTTTGAAATAGCATTTGTACCTTGAAATACCTGTCTCTATATATTTTTTAAAACTTCCTTTTTCTTTCATTCCATTTATCATCAAATAAAGGATGAACAGATGTAACTCAGAAACTGTCAAGCATGCTGAAGAAAGACCACTGCAGAAAAATTTCTCCTAGCCTTTTCAAAGGTGTTAGGAAGCAGAAAGGTGATACAGAATTGGAGAGGTCGGAGTTTTTGTATTAACTGTATTAAATGCGAATCCCGAGAAAATTTCCCTTAACTACGTCCTGTAGTTATATGGATATGAAGACTTATGTGAACTTTGAAAGACGTGTCTACATAAGTTGAAATGTCCCCAATGATTCAGCTGATGCGCGTTTCTCTACTTGCCCTTTCTAGAGAGGTGCAACGGAAGCCAGAACATTCCTCCTGGAAATTCAACCTGTTTCGCAGTTTCTCGAGGAATCAGCATTCAGTCAATCCGGGCCGGGAGCAGTCATCTGTGGTGAGGCTGATTGGCTGGGCAGGAACAGCGCCGGGGCGTGGGCTGAGCACAGCCGCTTCGCTCTCTTTGCCACAGGAAGCCTGAGCTCATTCGAGTAGCGGCTCTTCCAAGCTCAAAGAAGCAGAGGCCGCTGTTCGTTTCCTTTAGGTCTTTCCACTAAAGTCGGAGTATCTTCTTCCAAAATTTCACGTCTTGGTGGCCGTTCCAAGGAGCGCGAGGTAGGGGCACGCAAAGCTGGGAGCTACTATGGGACAGTTCCCAAGTGTCAGGCTTTCAGATTTCCTGAACTTGGTCTTCACGGGAGAAGGGCTTCTTGAGGCGTGGATAGTGTGAAGTCCTCTGGCAAGTCCATGGGGACCAAGTGGGGTTAGATCTAGACTCAGGAGCTCCTGGAGCAGCGCCCAAACCGTAGTGGCACTGGACCATGTTGCCCGGAGCGCGCACAGCCCGCGCGGTGCGGGGACCTGCTCTCTGAGCCCGCGGGCGGTGGGTGGGAGGAAGCATCGTCCGCGGCGACTGGAACCGGGAGGGAGAATCGCACTGGCGGCGGGCAAAGTCCAGAACGCGCTGCCAGACCCCCAACTCTGCCTTCGTGGAGATGCTGGAGACCCCGCGCACAGGAAAGCCCCTGCAGTGCCCATCGCGGCCAGAGCAGCTGGGGCATCAACGGCGGGCGCTCCCTCTTACTGCTCTCTGGCTTCGACGGGGGACTAGAGGTTAGTCTCACCTCCAGCGCGCCTGAGGCTCATGCATTTGGCTAATGAGCTGCGGTTTCTCTTCAGGTCGGAATGGATCTTGAAGGGGACCGCAATGGAGGAGCAAAGAAGAAGAACTTTTTTAAACTGAACAATAAAAGGTAACTAGCTTGTTTCATTTTCATAGTTTACATAGTTGCGAGATTTGAGTAATTTATTTCTAGCCTCCAGCTCTGAAATAAATGACATGTTGTTGTTTTTAATTATTTTTAAGAAACGCAAGCTAGCCTTTGGAATCAATATCCCTGCTTAGAGCAGAAGTTTGTTGGCTGAGTGGAGCACAGCATATGCATTTTCCCTGTCTTTTTTGTTCTTTCTTTTAATGATACATAATATTTTACATATTTATGAAATGGGGTACATGGAAGCGTTTTTTACATGCCCGGAATGTGTAATGATCAAGTCCGGGTATTTGAAGGATACATCACCTTAGGTATATTTCATTTCTATGTGTTGATAACATTTTAAGTCTTCTAGCTACTTTGAAATATACAATATATTGCTAACTGTAGTCACCCTCGTCTGCTATCGAACATTGGAACTTATTTGTCCTATCCAACCGTTCTTAGTCATTCACCAACCTCTTTTCATTTCACCTTTTTACCCTTCCCGGCCTCTTTCCCTTAGTCTTGGTGTGCCTCTTTCTCAGCTTTCCTGCCCCAGACAGGCGGATGCTCATATGTGTTTCTGTCTTATGAACTTCTGCTTTTCAAGTGGTGTTGGTCGCCCACACGTGAGCCATATGCTGCTGGTGATCTGCTCTGTGGTCCAGGCTCTTGCTTCCGGTAAATGGCTATGTAAACATCGCGTTTGTGGCCTGGCTGATGAGACAGAAGGTCAAAAGTACATTTAGGTTGTTAACTGGCAATAAATATCTGTATATAATATTGGTAATGTAATCATATAGGGAAAATAATTATTTAAAGTAAATTTTGATCATGGTGCTCTGCCTTTATAGAATATTTAAAACTTCACTAAATAGATTCATTGTTAGTAGTAAATTGTAAAATAGACTAGTAAGTTTAATAATATTAGAAACTGTAATGTAAATTATAAGATAAATTAGTAAACACATTAATATTATAAGAAACCAAGCTTTTCAGTGTAAGAGAAAAAATACAAATGTGGAAATCAAATACATTTTTAAAAATAATGTTAAGTTTGAATTAGAAATTTCAATATGAATTCATAATCTTTTAATAGTTCATTTTCAGTCCACTGAAAGGGACAGTAACAATGAGCACTGTTAGTACCAGATCTGGGTTTCTAAATACCATTCCTCCCTAAAAGAAATGAACCCCTCAGTAGCTAATTTCAGCCAGGTCTGGGACAGGAAAAATAGAAAGTGAGCCTGGAGTATCTTGTGGTACCTGAAAATAAGGAAGTGGAGTTTAATGGAGTAGTCGAAAGCACACTGAAGCTGTCTGGAAGATGCTTCCAATGGCCAACTCTGGGACAATTTGAGCATCAAAGAACATCGTAACTGTAACTGATTTTGAGATACTGAATGCTACTGCTGAATGCTTAATATTCTGAGAGAAGGGAAACTGAAAGAAAGTGTGAGAGGTAGAGAAAATAAAGCAATGATCTTTAGAGAAAAATTCCAGCTATCATTTTGGAACTTCCATTGTTATAATAGATTCAGGCAAGGATTGTCAATGAACTCTAAACTATCAGAAAAATGTTGTATCTAAGAATTTTCTTCAGAATGTTTACTAATTGGAAGGAGAATATGCTTCTCCAATTAAAGATTTTGCAGTTAGCACCTTAACCGAGTGATCAGACCTGGTATCTCTCACGGTAGAATGGACTGTAGTAAATGACTCATCACTTGGATTTTGAGTAAACAACATCACCTAGCAAATATTAATATATCTGCAAAAACATTTAGTCTGTATACAATTAAACTTGTAGACTGGGGCTGTCCAATGGATATATCATGTGAGCCACATTTGTAATTTAAAATTTTCTAGTAGCAACAGTAAAAAATGAAAATAAAAAGATAAAGTAATTTTGTAAATATATTTTATAGAACTCAATATGTCCAAAAGATTGGATTTTCTACATGTAATCAAAATGATTAATAAGATAGTTTACATTCTCTTTTATGCTAAATCTCCTGTTTGATGTGTATTTTACATTTATTGCACCTCCCATTTGTATTCAGTTTGATACAGGTATACCCAAGATGTGGGACATTCTGTAAGACAGCTGTTCTTGTTCCTTTACAAAAGTCAATGTTAAAAAAATAAAAGGAGGACTTCTAGATTAATAGAGACTAAAGAGATATAACTACCAAACGTAGTGTGTGAACATTACAAAACAAAACAAAAACAATCTAAAAGTTCAACAAGGAAAAAATCCTATGGAAAACATTCTTGGGAGATTTGAATGTGCATTAGATATTAGCCAATATCAGAATTGTAATCACTTTTCTTAGATGTGATAATGGTAGGAGAACATGTAATTGCAATTGAAAATTTTTGTAACAAAAATGTTCATATAAACCATGAAAAAGACTCCATAGAGTGGAGGGTAGGTATTCCACTTTTTGTTTTTAACTTTGTATTTTTGAAAACTTGATAGCTTAAAGAATTATGTACTTATGATACAAACATTTAGGTAGATTTAACTAAGAAATATTGAGGGTATGTGAAGAGAAACAGTAAAGAAAATTGTATGATCTTTCACATATTTCTATTATTGGTTCTATCATGGCCTATAGACTTTTTTTTTCAAATTAGAGATTATATTTTAAAGTAGTTCTTATTAAATTGTGTTCATTGCCATTGATTTAAATCTATTTTAACATGGGATTGTAAAGAAGCATATGGCTTTGGTAATAGATAATGCTGGGATAATAGTCCTATTTGGAATATGACTATTAGCAAAGATTCTTTATTAAAATGATGTTTGATGAATGACTTGTCTTTCTAAGCACTGTTTTTTGTGCTAATGGGGATAAGTAAGTTATCTAGTAGGGGTGAGAGTTTGTGTGAAAGTGCATTTTAATGTGATGCGATGCAGTATCTCAGAAATCTGAGGTTGCACCTTATAGTTTGGTGGTCAGGGAACAGACTTGGCATTTAAATATTGGCTTAGTTATAGCTGTGAACCTTGGACAAGTTAACTCTTCTCACTCTTCTACGTCTCTAAAAGAACAAAAATGTGTCTTCCTCATAGAATTGTTTATGAATTGTGTGTGGGAAGTGCTTACTTAGCCAGTGCCTGGAACATTATAACTTCTCCAGAGTAGCAGCTGTTTTAGAGAACAAAAAAATAAATAAAAGGCTTAGAGCTAAAACTCAACTATTTATGGCTATTTTTCTCCTTTCATCCTGGTTCCAGGGATACTGAAACCATGCCTTTACTGGGAATTGGGTGGGACCAAACCTGAAGAGTTGTGTTTGTGTATTTTATGTCTGTCTAACATTACTCCAAAGCCAAATGGGTAAACTCTGGATTTTTTTCTTTAGAAGTCTCCTCACCTCTTTTGACCTCACTTAGTGTAAAGAACAAAGACAAAGATGAATTTACCTTATGAACTTAAAAACCGTGTAAAAAATAACACAAATCTTTTCTAAAATAGTTTTTCTTTTATACCTACAAAAATACAGATGAGGCAGATTTGTTACGGTTGGTTTGCTTTCACATCCTAGGTAGCAGTTACACAGAGTAGAAAATGGGCTACAGAGTTAGATTCATTTGTATCTGGGCTCAAAATAATAGTTGACCTTATGCCTGAGGAGAACTTTTTGACAATTTATAGAACATCATTTCTGACCATAGCTTTCTAGCGTGCATTTATTTCATAATGGTCCATTTAGGACTCCAGACATTTTTTTCACAATTAGATTTGCTTATAAGGAGTAATTTAATTTTCTTCTGAGGCTAGTTATGCCCAGCATCTAATTGCCACTTCTCTTCACTAGAAAGGGAAGGATTAAGAATAATATCTGGGTAGTGGATGGATAAAATGTCTACTGCCATCATTAATCAAATGACAATTAAGGGGATTCATAATTAAGGGGAAGCATGAATGATTTTCTAATTAGAATAAAAACAGGGAACTCTTTTCAGTATGTATATTTTTCTAATTGCAAAGGGTGTATGTATGTATTCATCATAGCAAATCAGGAAATATCAAAGGCACAAGGAAGAAAATATTTTTAGAGAGATTCCAGCACTCAGTGATAACCACGTATGTAGATTTCTAAGATATATGTAAACATATTTAAACATTATAAATGGGGTCATACTATTATCATCCTGTTTTTTAACTGTATAATATAGACATATTTCTTCTTCCTATTAGTCATTAAATATACATTCTATGTTAATTTGGGTAATTTAAAAAATATGTACTTTTTAAAGTTTTATGTAATTCCATTGCTGTTTTGCAGTGAAAAAGATAAGAAGGAAAAGAAACCAACTGTCAGTGTATTTTCAATGGTGAGTTTTGAATTTATTAACTATTCAAAATACTTCGGAAATTTGACATCTCCTTACATGGAAAAGAGATATTTCATCTGATGTAAGATTTTCGTATAGGGTATGTTAATGGAGATGCAAAATAAATTGGTTTGATTTAGCTTATTTTCAGGAGAATGCTGATCATAACTTGCTATCTATATTACTAATCTACAGCCACCATTCCTGACTTAGATTTCAATTCTTCTAATGAATTATGTTGCCAGTGATCCATTACCTACACAAGCACCTCTCCCATCTGCATAGAGGAAACCAATCACATAGAATGCTGTCTTTAATGGCTCTGAAATTTGGCAGGTTTTTTAGGTCAAAGTCAGTTGCTATCAATAAAAGTTAGCAATGGATTATTTATTACTATGCAAATTTTAGGTCATTTAGGTTAGTCCATTGCAAATTTTAGTTCAAAATCCATTACTAACAATAAAAGGTAGCAATGGATTATTTATTACTATGATTTCAAATATGTCATATGCCATTATTCCCCTGTGTTAAACAGATGAAAATCTAGAATTCGAAAACCTTATTGTAACTCTTTATTTCATTTTCTGGTTGCACAGTGGTTTTTTTAGAAGCTTTTCTTTAATCACACTTGGAATCAGACATGTATCATATATGTGTGGTTGGTTGATGACCTCAGTGCTGTGATCTTGGCTCACTGCAACCTCTGCCTAGTTAATGACCTCTTATTTACCTGGATTCTTACTTCCTTTTTTCTAAGAGTACAAATTTAGGTGAACTGTTAGGTGAAAGATTCCAGAGATTAGAACCTGGAAGACTACTAAACCAATTAAGTCCAACAGCACATGCTTTATAATTCAGTCATAACACAGCAATTTTTTTAAGGTAAGGGAGTGGATAGATTGTCTTGCAAAATGGATTTTAATAAATTGACTATAAAAATAGTTGTAGGTAGGGAAAAAACAGTCATGTGACTTTTACACTGAGGACTCTATGGTTCCCTTATGTGATCTTCGTTTCTCTGTGCTACCATTGCTCTTGCCATGACTCCTGCTTTTATTCTATCTCTACGCCCTTTGGAATTTTGGTGAGATGAGACTATGTACTTGAGTCATTCTTAGGCTACTTGAGTAACCAAGTGACAGTTTTCATTGTTACTTTCTTGTATGGAAAGAAGCGTTTAGGTTAAAGTTGTATTTATCCCCAGGATTTCAGTGCTGTCACTTTGAGACTTTCAGTTTTTATTATTTGTAGTTAAATTTTTTTAAACCTTAGGAGTCTTATATTTTAGAAAATTTAACAGACCTACTATATAGAGGCAATGTTATCAATAATTCATTTTAAGGCACAAAAGAATAAAAATATGGAGCTTTAATATGAGGTAGTAGTAATAGCACACATAAAGCACTGTGTGCCAAGCATTGTCCTAAGTATTTCATATTTAATCTCATTTAATCCTTACAACTCCTTTTGAGAAAGATACTATTATTATTCCAGTTTTACACATGAAGAAACTGGAGCCAGACATGTTCACTTGTCTGAGGATGTACAATGGGGCCAGGATAGAGAGAATATATTCTAAGTCTCTTGATGAAGTACTCTACTACTTAGATAGATTTTCCTCACATCTTTTTCCTGAAAAGTCAACATAGAAAACATTGAATGTAACTTCAATATAAAACTTATAAACACAAGAACATAATAAAAGTTTAACAATATATTGGTGATGTCACTGGCATTGCTTATTAATAATAGTTTTCAGTGAAGACAAAAAACATTGTGTGTTCAGGGTTTCCAAGAAGCCCAGCTTCAGTGATTCAGACTAGGAGGACCCAGAGGATTTATGGCTAATGTTTATTACAACAAAAGGATACAAGGCAAAATCAGCCATGGCAAAAGGCGAGTGGGGAGAAGTCCAGAAGAAACCAGGTGCAAGCTCCTAGAGTTCTCTCCTAATGGAGTCACAGGGCACACTGAATTTCCCCAAGCAATGAGTTAAGACAGCACTTGTAGAATGCTGTTTATCAGAGAAGCTCATTAGAGACTCAGTGCCCAAGGATTTTATTAGGAACTGATCATGTAGGCACCTACCCAGCATGCACCAAAATTTCAGACTCATAGAAGGAAGGCAGAACTGCAGAATGAAGAATCATATTGTTTGTACAGATAGTTTGGCCATACTTATCAGTTAGAATGGTGGTAATCCTCCCCAAATCCAAGTTCCAGCCAAGGGCCAACCTTTGTATACAGGCCTTTCTAAACATGGCAGCCTCAGAGCTGCTGTGTTAGCTCTTGTCTGCACACAATGTCTGTTAATTTATTTCCACTATGAGATTTTTTAGCAATCTTAAAAAAGTGATGAAAGAAGTAAGGAATAGATTCAAAATTCTATACTAGCCTTTTAAATTTATATCAGACCTTGTTTCAACATTTACAGAAACACAAAAGTAGAATAAAATCTAAAGCAAGTGAGGAAATGTGACACATAGAGCTGGGCTGTAATTTCTACACAAAATGAACTTCTTAGAGATTATACACTCTTGGTCAGGTGCTGTGGCTCACGCCTGTAATCCCAGAACTTTGGAAGGCTAAGGTGGGCAGATCACTAGAGCCCTGAAGTTCAAGACCAGCCTGGGCAACATGACAAAACCCTGTCTATGTGAAAAGTACAAAAATTAGCTGGGCATGGTGGCACATGCCTGTAGTCTCAGCTACTCGGGAGGCTGAGGTGGGAGGATCACTTGAACCCAGGAGGTGGAGATGCAGTGAGCCAAGATTGTGCTACTGCACTCTAGCCTGGGTGACAGAGTGAGACACTGTCTCAAAAAAAAAAAAAAAAAGATTATATATTCTTGCAAGAATTGTGCACTGTAGATTGAACTCTGAGCTTTCTATTATGTGTGTCTTAGGGAAACATTAATTTTTTTCTAAATAGATAATACCTAACAATGTTAAGTGTTTCCCTTGTACCAGGCATTTGTTAAATACCCTATGTTTATTGTGTGACATAATCTTCATATAGGGACATAAGTACCTGCAATTTAGGAACTTGTGTTATTCTTGTGTTCCAGATGAAGAACTTGACTTAGAGAAGTTAAGTAATGCATTCAAAATCACAGGGTCACATAGCTACTAAGCAGGGTAGACTCAGATATGCCCAGTTGCTTTTAACAACTGTAATCATTTATGACTGGTTAAACTGTTATCTCTCTGGAATTGAAGAGTTCTTTATTGCTGCTATCTTTTGATCTTATGACCATCTCATCATCAAAGACTACGCCACCTGGCTCAGTATCCTCCCTTTCCACTTTGGTGCTCCAACCAACTTGGGTGACTTTTATGGTTATATGGATAATCACTCCTTGAGCTTCACAGCTGCAATAATCATAAAAACCTACCTGTGTCTGAATCTGTTTCCTCCTCCTTCTTTCCAGTTATGACAGAGTTTTAGTCTTAAGACTAATCATTCATACTTTGGCTCCTATCTCCTCTGCCTTCTCAGGGACCTTACATCATTATTACCACTCATTCTCTTCTGTATCTTCCATCTTTCCCTCTCAACTGGATCTGTCCCATTGGCATTGACACATCAAGGCACTGATGCCCTTCATGGAGCCACCCCTGCCAGCTCCCTTCACACACAAAAGTGGCCTTTGCGTTCTGTCTTGATTTCGCCATTGACTTAGTTCTCAACCTATTGAAGTTTGGCTCCTGTTCCTGTCTCTCTCTACATTCAGTGGACATTTTAAAATTCTATCTTGATCTCTCAGCAGCACTTAGACTTTCTCCTATATTTTTTGTATTTGCTTCTGTTATGTCACGGTTTGCTGATTTTCCTCCAGCTCTTTGGCTTTTTCTTGTGCTGCCCTCGCCTGTAAAGTTAAGTTCCTCAACCCCTTATCACAGGAGTCAGAGATGATGTGGACATTCCTATAGTTCCACAAAGCCATTTTCAAATTTTTTTTATTCTCATGCAAACTCCTTTGTCATTTGAGTTTCATTCTGCATAATTATACTATCTTCTATCTATTTTCGGTGGTATCCTCGAAGTATACCCCCACCCCCATTCCTTGAGGACTTTGGCATTTGATTGCTTCTACTTCATTCACCTTATGTTCCTGTTATTCTTCTGAGTATTTTGGTGACCTTACAAATAAGTCTCAACATTCTCTGACTGCTTCAGTTCCAACAACGACGCTCCATAAATTACATGAGTACCTTAGTAAATTGCACGTGTGGACAGGATCTTGGGCTTATTGTCTGGGTGAGCTTTCCTCTATGAAGGTATAAACACACACACACGTGTATCAGTCTTTGACCACAACCTGTGATTCCTTCCAGCTCTGCCCTGCCTCTTTATCATCCCTCTTTTGACATTGTGTATTCATTTCCTATTGCTGCTGTAGGAAAATAGCACTCACTTAGTGGCTTAAAACAACACAAGTTTATTACCTTACTGTTCTGGAATCGAAGTTTTACTGGGCTAAAGTCAAGGTATCAGCAGGATTGCATTTCTTCTGGAGGCTCTGTTTCCTTCCCTTTTTCAGCTTCTAGAGGACACTTGCATTTCTAGACTCACAGGCCCTTCCTTGCATCACTCCAACCTCTTACTTCAATCATCACATCTCCTACTGACTCCAGGCCCCCTCCTCCCTCTTATAAGCACCCTTGTAATTACATTTGCTCTCCTAGATAATCCAGGGTAATCCCCTATCTGGAGATCTTTTAAATCTGCAAAGTCCCTTTTATCATGTAAAGAAATATATTCACAGGTTCCTGGGATTAGGATTTGGACAGGCTGTGGGGGGAGAATTATTCTGTCTACCACACCTGGTCAAGACTTTACTCTCTCAACTGCTCTTTCATCTCCTAGTATCCCTCCTTCCTTTTTGCTCTTCTAAAAATTTACCCATAGCAGCCACATCATATCACCTTGGTCCCTACCTTAAAACCATTAAATGCTTTCCTTTCTGCTTACACAGGAAGTTCAGTGTAAAACCCAGACTCCTTCCTGTCATCACAAAATGCCCTACATATCTGACCTCTGTTATTTCTGACTTTACTGCAGACAAATATTCCCTCTCACTCTGCTCTTGCCACAGTGTTCATTCTCTTTGGTCCTTGGGATACAGCAAGCTGGTTTTTACCTAAGTACCTTTGCATTGGCTCTTCCTGCCTGGAATGCACTGTCCCCAGATCATCACAGGATGAACTGTATCCTTCCTGTCACTGAAGTCTCATCATGGATGTTACCTCCTGAGAAAGACATTCTCTGACCAGCCAATCTAAACCAGGTGACCCTGCCTGTCTCTGTGTCATACCATGTATGGCTTTTCTCCTGAATATTTATCACTGTCTGATTTCTTTTTTATGTGTTTGTCTTCTCTCTGAAGGTAGGCTCCGTGGAGGCAGGAGATTTTTTGTATATTTTGTTCTCTACTATAACCCAAATGCCCTAGAATGGTGCCTGGAACTTTCATAGCAACTTAAATATTGAATGAATGTTGAATACATCTATTCCCCCTTTTAGTGTATGCACTAGAGTGTATGCTTTGTGAGGATAGGTAGCTTTTCTTACTCACTGTTGTTACCAGTACCTAGAACCAAGCCTGACCTTATTAGGTTCTTTCAAATATTTGAAAGATATTTTAAAATATTCACATATCCCTTGAATGTTAAATGAATAAATGAATGAATTAATTCTCTCTCAAATCCAAGTCATGTTTGCCATCTAATCTGGTGAATGTTACCTAAACCTCTCTCCTGTCAGTACCTTCTACTTCTTTGCCCTGGGAAGCCCAGTCTTTGGCATTAGGCACGGATCAACATGCCTTTTATGTGGTTCTGGTTCACCTTCTCTCTCTTTCCTTTCAGCATCTAATCAAACTTTCTTTCTTTCTCTCTCTCTCTCTCTCTCTCCCTCCCTCTCTCCCTCTCTCTCTCTCTCTCTCTCTCTCTCTCTCCTCTCTCTCTCTCTCTTTCTTTTTTTAGGTCTTAACTCTGTCACCCAGGCTGGAGTACAGTGGCATGATCACAGCTCACTGCAGGTTCAACCACCCAGGCTTAAGTGATCCTACCACCCCAGCCTCTGGAGTAGCTAGGACCCCAGGCACATGCCATCACACCCAAACAATTTTTAAATTTTTTTGTAGAGAGAGGGTCTCCTATGTTGCCCAGGCTGTACCAAACTCCTGGGCTCAAGTGATCCTCCTGCCCTCAGCCTCCCAAAGTGTTGGGATTACAGGTGTGAGCCATCATGCCCAGCGCATTTCCTTTTTTAAAAGCTCCTATTACAATTAGTTTATACTTCTATTTTACATTTCACCTGTGTTACAACGTTTTTTGGTCTGCCTGCTTTTTGACTTTATGAGAGTGAAAAGTCTTGTTAATTATTATATTTTCAAAACCAGTAACATTATCTGCTTATATCATATATTTGCATATTGTATGCTCAATAAGTTTCTTGTATTCTCATTTTTACCCTCATAACAGCTATGTAAGGTTTTCTGTGTGTATGAATATTTTCCTCATTTTGTAAATTCAGAAACTGAGACTCAAGGTTATTAAGATTTTTTTCCCCTAAAGTCTCCTTCCTAATAAACTACAGAGTGAGGGCATTTGACTGAGGCTTTTGTCCTACTCAGCATTATGTTACCACTTTCTTCAAATCTTCTCACCCCCTTCTCTCTAGAAATCAATCTTGCTTCATGTCATTAAGAAATATGAGGTTCTAGCATTTATAAGGAACCTAAACAAATTTACAAAGAAAAAACAAACAACCCAATAAAAAGATGGGCAAAGGACATGAATAGAGACTTCTTAAAAGACATGTGGCCAACAATTATATAAAAAAAGCTCAACATCACTGATCATTAGAGAAATGCAAATCAAAACCACTGTGAGAAACCATTTAACACCAGTCAGAATGGCTATTATTACAAAGTAAAAAAATAACAGATGCTGGCAAGATTGTGGAGAAAAAGGAACATTTATACACTGTTCAGCCATTGTGGAAGACAGTGTGGTGATTCCTCAAAGACCTAAAGACAGAAATACCATTTGACCTATTACTGGGTGTATACCCAAAGGAATATAAATCATTGTATTATAAAGACACATGCATTGTATGTTCATTGCAGCACTATTCACAATAGCAAAGACATGGAATCAACCTAAATGGCCATCAATTGTAGACTGGATAAAGAAAATGTGGTACACATAGAGCATTGAACACCATGCAGCCATAAAAAGAAACGAGATCACGTCCTTTGCAGGGCATGGCTGGAGCTGGAGGCCATTATCCTTAGCAAACTAATACAGGAACAGAAAACCAAACACCACATGTTCTCACTTAAAAGTGGGAGCTAAATGATGAGAACACATGGACACCTAGAGGGGAACAACACACATTGGGGCCTTTCGGAGGGTGGAGTGTGGGAGGAGGGAGAGGATCAGGAAAAATAACTAACGAGTACTAGGCTTAATAGCTGGGTGATGAAATAATCTGTACAACAACCCCCCATGAAACAAGTTTACGTATGTAACAAACCTGCATTTGTACCCATGAACTTAAAAGTTAAAATAAACAAATAAAAAATAATAAAAAAAAAAACAAAAGGAAATATGAGGTTCTGAACTCTTTCAATTTTCTGTCTTTATTCCTGGAAAATTAGTACTCACTTTAATCTCCTTCCTTCTAGTCTAAGATTAAGAGATGTAATTCCAATTTTCCCAGCTCAGTGAGGGGTGTCTTTTGATCAGTCAGCTATTTCTGTTTCCACACTTTACACCCCAAACTTGAGGGTCCCCAGTCTTTTTTAAGCACATTGTGCTCTTTTCTGTCTCAGTTTACTTTTCTTTTTGGCTTAAATGCCTTTTTTTTTTTTTTTTTTTTGAGACAGAGTCTCACTCTGTCGCCCAGGCTGGAGTGCAGTGGTGCGATCTCGGCTCACTGCAAGCTCCGCCTCCCAGGTTCACACCATTCTCCTGCCTCAGCCTCCTGAGTAGCTGGGATTACAGGCGCCTGCCACCACATCCGGCTAATTTCTTTTTTTGTATTTTAATAGAGACGGGGTTTCACTGTGTTAGCCAGGATGGTATTGATCTCCTGACCTCGTGATCTGCCCGCCTTGGCCTCCCAAAGTGCTGGGATTACAGGTGTGAGCCACTGCACCCAGCTACACTTGGTAAACTTTCAAAGCTGGAAGGAAGCATCACCTCTTTTATCATATGAAGCCTTTTCACAAAGGAGGGAATGATGATTGACTCAGTTTTGTGTCTATTCTATACACTGTACTGTCAAAGCATGCAGAGCATGTATTGCATATACATTTTTCTTTAACCTCTCTGAAGGCAGGGTTATATCTTTGGCATTTATCTCTGGATTTTATCTGTCATTGAATAGGCATTCAGTAAATGTCTACTTTCATGATCCACTTATTTTTATTATGGCCAGTGACAGTTCTGGAGGTAAAATGTCCTGTGTTGGTGGTGATGGGAGAAATTTTTTCATATCAACTATCTTCTCTTCCTGTACTAAGGAGTTTGATATTTTATCTACTTTAATATAATCTCTAAAAGAAGACCTCTTCCCTTTCATTTTTGTTTAAGGAAGCAGATGAATTCTTATCTAAGACAAAGTACATAGTGCAAAATTTAGCCAGTGTTTCAATGAAATATGAAAAAATATGCCAAAACGTGTTGTCCCATTAATGTTTTAATCTGTAAATATGATGATGTTTTTAGATCATCAACCCATAAATAACATGGAAAGTTATGCCATGAACCCAAACTTAAGCTCATTTGATAACACATTTAAGAGCTAGAAAAAGGGTAAATGCAAATACTTAAGTATCTATTAGATACTCTTTTTTACACACCATATCTTAATTTTCATTAATTATTTCATAATTTGGCTTTACTTTTTATCTCCTGCTTTATGGACTGCCATTCATTACTGGTAATAACCATTCTTTATTTCTCCACTCGGCAGTCCAGTACCAAATCCCCCAGTTGCTACTGTAAGATTCATGTAAGCTAACTCTAGGATTGGTTTCTATCCCCTTGTGAAGTATATGTAAGTTCTAAAATCTTGCTGTCTGTGGCTATGTCTTTTTTGCTGCCTAATCTTTGTTTTGGTTTATATTTCCTGCCTAGGCCTATGATTTTTTTACCCAGTTTCCTCCCTGCATTACAAACCTGTTGCCTACAGCTACACCTTGCATCCACATGTTAACCTTCTGCCCTGGGATTTATCCATAGACACCCACAGCTGGCTTTACCCCATTTCTGTTTTTTTTCCCTTTGGTTTTCTTTCAATCCTTAGCTAGTTCCTTGAGTTATAGGGAAGCAGTATTAATCACTTCCCAAGGGGGCCCTGAGCCCATTCCTCTTAACTGTGTCCTTTTCCTGTAACTTTTTGGGTTCAGAGAAGCTTTTCTTTCCTTCCTGTTACCTGCCTACATTTAAAGAGATTATGCAGATCTCCAACGTGGGTCATTCATTATTGCCATATTCTGTCTTCTCAGAAAAAATGTTCCTTGACAAGCATGCATCAGACTCATTCCTTTCTTTTTTCTGCTCATTCTTGAGGCCTAATTATCTTCAAATCATTTTACCTTTATACCAGTTCCATTGTTTGGCAGGTCTTTAACCCAAACCACTTTCTTAAAGCAACACAATGTTTCCTCCATGGTATCCTCAGAGGGGCCTTTGGCATTCAAGTTTTTGCCCATGAGATGATAAGTGGCTTCTATTCTTAGAAACTAGAGCAACAAATACCATATTATATACCATTAAATACTTTTACAGTTTCCCAGAATGTCCCATCCTTCTCATTAGACTTCATATAAGAAGACAGACCAAGTCCAATATGAAGAATTAGGCCAGAACTCAATGGAAGAATCAAATGTCCATTTCTAATTAGACTATTGCAATAATTTAGCAAAGGTAGAGGGTGTCTTGGACTAGGTTGGTATCAGTAGTAGTCTGAAAAATGTTTGGATTTTGGATATATTTTGAAGGAAAAGCAAATCTTCCATGAAACTGTACTAATTTTTCCTCTGCTATTCTTTTTTCTCTCTTTTTAGTTTCGCTATTCAAATTGGCTTGACAAGTTGTATATGGTGGTGGGAACTTTGGCTGCCATCATCCATGGGGCTGGACTTCCTCTCATGATGCTGGTGTTTGGAGAAATGACAGATATCTTTGCAAATGCAGGAAATTTAGAAGATCTGATGTCAAACATCACTAATAGAAGTAAGTATTGTTTGTGTACCAATTTTATTGGAAACTTGCAGCAAAAACAAGCACTTAGAGTGATGTTTATGGATTCTTTACTAAATACACATTAGTGTGTTTAGTCCTGTAGGAGGCAGACAGTCTGAGTTATAATTCATATTTGTAGTGAGTTAGAAAAGATAATATTTACAAGCATTACAACACACAACTGAAGTGCCAGCAGAGATATGTAGAAAAAGAGAGAGCCCTGTGAAGTCAGAAATATTCTGGAAAGCTTCAAGAAGAAATATAGGAACTTAATTAGAACCTTGAATGATAAGTAGGAATCTGTTGTGAGATTTCCTAACAGATTGAACATGGGTGTAAGACGAAAAGTCGGGGATGATTCTAAAGTTTTTAGCCCTAGAAACTGGGAGGATGCAGTTACTATCAACAGAAATGAGAGATGGAGAAGGAGAGTGGATTTGAGCAATAAATCCCAGAAATTTAGTTTTGGACATTGTTATATGTTGGGCTTTCTGGAAGTAGATGCAGGAATGGAAAAGTGGGGCAAAATTGTGTGTGTGTGTGTGGGGGGGTATTTTAGGATAGGATAAATAATAGCTTGTAGCTTGTTTTGTGTGTTAATGGAAATGATCCAAAAGAAAGGAGAAAGTGATGTTTGAATGAAAGATGGAAGAGATTTGCTGAGTGATATCCTTGAGAAAAAATGGAATCCAGTGCTGAGGAGGAAAACAGTAACAGGTGGGAAAAGTGAATTTGAGTGTCAGTACCCAGTGGTGGGTAGATGAGAAGGTGAGAATCTGTGGAATTTTTCTCCTGATAACTTTAGTTTTCTCAGTGAAGTAGGAAGCAGGAGAATTGGCTGATAGAGACAGAGAAAACAGATGTAACACAGCTCTCAAGGAAAGTGGGAAAGTGAATAGACTACAGAAATAATCTGGGTGTAACATACATATTCTTTCCTCTCTCTCCCTCTCTCTCTCTCTTTCTCGATTGGGGAGGAATGGGTTGATATCTCTGAGTTTCCTAGGTTACCTCTGGTCAAGCCTAGATTGATTTAAACTGAGCTACTCAAAAACTTACAATCCAGTTTGCACTCAGGTGGTCAAATGTTGAAAATGCCTGTTTGATAACGTACTTGAAAATGTAGTGATACCACTTAGCTTACAAGGACCTTTCAACTTTTGAACTTTCAAGTTTCTGATGAATGCAATGAATTGCTTCCCCAGAAACATGCACATGAATATTCATACCAATCTCGGGTATATACGGATCTTTTGATACTTGTCAGTGGGTCCTCAGAACCACTTCATGACCCTAAAAAGTACATTGTTTACCCTGGGGTAGAACTACTTCAATTCTGTGGATGCAGGTAATGAGCTGGGCCAGAAAAATTTTTGTATGTTTGAGCTATGTAAAATTCTTATGCTTTATTACATCCTTTCACGGCATCCAAAGGGACCTGCAGAAAGATGCTGCACCACCTCTGAACTGGTACCTTTCTTTTACACCATTCACCAGAGGAAGTCCTCAATGCTTTCTGAATTCATTAGTTCCTATACTTGCTATATTGGCCAATATTCTGTGGCGTTAGCTCTCTTACTGCTTCATAGTGGAAGAATCAAATACTTCATCACTCTCTGGTGGCTCAGCAGGCCTAATGGGTACATCTCTGTCCATCCAGATCTTGCTCACTTTTTAATGACTTCCCAGCCTTCAGAACTGTGGGAAATAAATTTTTATTGTTTGTATGTTAATACATACAGTTTATGTATTTTGTTATATCATCCCAAATGGACTAAGACACACAGTAAACTCACTTACTTAATAGCATGCATGAGCTCCCAAACAGATGATGATCTAGTTGTGAAGACTAGCTCCTTTCTGGATAGGCCCATGTGTCTGTATGCCTATCAAAATCTCCTAGGTTAAACAGGGGCCACATCACCACAGCTTGCCAGCTGGTAATTTAGATTTCCATCTTCATAGATATCTAGTTTCTAGGTGAGGTTGTAATTCACATTGCAGTCCTTGCCAGTCATTCTCATTCAGCTCACTCTTCTAGTCTTGAGAACGGGAAAGAGAAAGCTTAGAGAAATATTTGAAAGTTTACTTTTGTTATTCTCTTAAGAGGTGGTATATTTAGTGGTTAGCGAACATACTCTGGAGTTGGACTGCCTGGCTCAAAAACCACACCCTTACCAATTTTTAATTTTGAGGTTTAGGGAATTTATTCATACTTTAGTTATTAAGTTGGATAACAATAGAACCTACTTCTCAGGATGGTTGTGATATTTAAGTGGATTCATTCATTGAAGAATCACAGAACAAAGTCTAGTCATAAGAAGTACTCAACAAATATTAGTTACTGTTATTATCAACAGGCTTTCATGTTCCTCACAAATGAAATTACATAACTTTCAATGATGATATGGTTCCTTATATAATTTCTTCTTTACAAAATTCTGTGATACTACCTCAATTTTCATAGTTGTTGAAAGTTTGGGACATACCCAAAGTTACTCAGTACCTATTATATGATGTGAATAATCATCCCTTTAAGTAGAATTTCCTTGGTTACCAGCCATGCCTTTCAGGGAAGGTAGGTATCCTCCAACTATGACCCCTGGGCTAATTTGGCCTGCTGCCTCTTTTTGTACAGGGTGTGAACTAAGAATGGATTTTACATTTTGAAATCATTGAAAAAAAATCAAAAGAAGAAATTATATTTTGTGACCCGTGGAAATTATGTGAAATTTAAATTTCAGTACCTGTAAATAAAGTTTAATGAAATGTAGCTACACCTATTCATTTACATTTTATGAATGTAAGCAGCCTATGGCTGCTTCTATGCCACAATGACACAGTAGAGTAGTTGTACAAACCGTATGGTCTGCAGAGCCTAAGATATTTACTATCTGGCCCTTTATAGAAAAAGGTTGCCAATCTCTGAAGTAGGGTATTGAGTGAGGGGTTGTTATCTTCAGTCAATCCATCAATTAATTTGTATTAGAGCATTCTGTGTGCCAGTCACAGTACATGCCCTCATCATTCCCAACTCTTGAGGAGCTTAGTGTAGTGGGAGGGATGGACAAGGGTGAACCAATAAATACAGTCGAATTTGATTAGTGATATAATACAGAGATAAATAAAATGCATTGGAAAAAGAGAGAAAGGACACCTGACTCCATATAGAGGAATCATGGGAGGCTTCCAAGAGGAGGTGATAACCAAATATGGTCAGCATCTATCTCCTACACAAAGTGTACCTATTCTGTGTAACAGATGAAACCATTTCAAAATAAAGATTAAATAAGTAAGATTAATATCCTTCCCTCACTGCCACTCCTTATTTCCACTCCCCTCACCATTGTCTATCCTTCCATGCCTTTCCAAAGACAGCATGCTATCTTTACTGTGATTTTCACTTTAGGACGCTTACTACACTATCACTAATCTGCTTGTCTGCAGATTCAGACTGCCAGATACCCTCAAGTCTGCCTGGAAAGCAGGGAATAGCATCAAAGGTTTTGATGCTTGTCCCAGAGATGAGGGCAAACATGCTCTGTCATGCCTGTGGAGGGAGAACCAGCCTACTAAATTCTTGGGGCCCGAGATACAGTCAGATCATTCTTCTTTTTGCCCTTCCCTAGGCAGAACCTCATTATCTCTCCATGGGGGTGGACTAGATACCAGAGCCTCCTTATTGGAAAAGTAGTCCTTGCTTAAGGGGACTTGGACTTGCGGAGGCTCTTGAAAGCCTGGGGGTTTTTACAATAAACATAGGATCTAATTAGACAGCTCTAAAACCTTCTTCAGTAAGCAGATCCTTCTCTGTTGCTGCAATAGAACCCTTGTAAGTTTTCTCGTCCCAATACTTTGCCTTAATTAACAGACATCAGCTTTTGTTCTGCTGTTTTACTGTGGACCAGATTTCCTGACAGCCACTCCCATCTATCTCTGGTTTAATTATAGAATATGTGTAGCCTTTGCCTTAAAATCTCTGATGACTGGAGCCTAGGGAACTCTCTGATTCTGTCATATCACTTTTTTTTTTGTAAACAAAGCTTAATCACTGATGAATTTCTGTAATATTCTGTGAATTCTCATCTTCCTTATGAGACTGGCCACTATCTGGAAATGATCCTAGATAAAGGCGATTGTGGTTTTAAATGTGTTGTGGTGAAGACGGCAGGTGGGGTGCCTGTAAAATGACATCCAGGCAGTTGAAGAAATGACACTAAATCTTGGCATAAAGAACAGGACTAGAAGCTGGGTGTGGTGGTGTGTGCCTGCAGTCCCAGCTATTGGAGAGGCTGAGGTGGGAGGATCACTTGAGGTCAGAAGTTCAAGGCTAGCCTGGGCAAGATAGTGAGAGTTTGTCTCTAATAAAACTTAAAAGGTTAAAAAATGATAAAATGTAAGGAGGAGGTGGAACAAGATAGCCAAACAAAAGCCTCCAGAAATCATCCCCCCCTCCCCCATCCCTACAGGAACACCAAATTGAACAACTATTCACAAAACAAAGCACCTTCATAAGAACTAAAAACCAGGTGAGCGACCACACTATTTGGTTTTAACATTATATTAAGGAAAGAGGCACTGAAGAAGGTAGGAAAGAGAGTCTTGAATTGCCTGCACCACTCTTCCCCTCCCCCACCAGCAGCACATACTGAAGAATGAATCACAGTCTCTTAATAGCAAAATTGATCAAGCAGAAGGAAGAATTAGTGAGCTTGAAGACAGGCTATTTGAAATACACACACTCAGAGGAGACAAAAGAAAAAAGAATGAAGCATGCCCACAAGACCTACAAAATAGCCTTAAAAGGGTAAATCCAAGAGTTATTGGCCTTAAATAGGAGGTAGACAGAGAGATTAGAGTAGAAAGTTTATTTAAAAGGGTAATAACACAGAATTTCCCAAGCCTAAAGAAAGATATCAGTATTCAAGTACGAGAATGTTGTGGGACACCAAGCATATTTAACTCAAATAAGACTACCTCAAGATATTTAACAATCAAATTCCCAAAAGTCAAGGATAAAGAAAGGATCCTAAAAGGAGCAAGAGAAAAGGAACAAATAACATACAAAGGAGCTCCAACATGTCTGGAAGCAGACTTCTCAGTGGAAACTTTACAGGTCTGAAGAGAGTAGCGTGACATATTTAAAGTGCTGAAAGAAAAACACTTTTTATCCTAAAATAGAATATCCAATGAAAATATCCTTCAAACATGAAGGAGAAATAAATACTTTCTCAGATGAACAAAAGCTGAGGGATTTATTCAACACCAGACCTGTCTAGACAAGAAATGCTAAAGGGAGTTCTTTAATCAGAAAGAAAATGATGTTAATGAACAATAAGAAATCATCTGAAGGTACAAAACTCACTGGTAATAATAAGTACTCAGAAAAACACAGAATATTACAACACTGTAATTGTGGTGTATAACTTACTCATATCTTGAGTAGAAAGGCTAAAAAATGAACCTATAAAAAATAATAACTACAATAACTGTTCAAGACACAGTCTAATAAGATATAAACAGATACAGATATAAAAAGTAGGGAGCTGAAGTTAAAGTGTAGAGTTTGTATTAGTTTTCCCTTTGCTTGTTTGTGTATGTAATCAGCATTAAGTTGCCATCAGTTTAAAAATGAGTTATATGATATCATTTGCACACCTGATGGTAACCTCAAATAAAATAACATACAGCAGATACATAAAAAATTAAAAGCAAGACATTAAAACATACCACCAGAGAAGATCACCTTCACTAAAAGGAAGACAAGAAAGAACGAAAGAAGGAAGAGAAGATCACAAAAAACAACAAACAAAATGGCAGGAGTAAGTCTTCACTTATCAATAATAACATTGAATCTAAATGGACTAAATTCTCTAATCAAAAGACATAGAGTGGCTGAATGGATTAAAAAAAACACATTAAAATATTATTTAAGACCAAATGGGGTTTATCCCAGGGATGCAAGGATTGTTCATCGTATGCAAACTAATCAATGTGATATGTCATATCAACAGAATGAAGGATATAAAATATATGATAATTTCAGTTGATGATGAAAAGGCCTTTGATAAAATTCACCACCCTTCATGATAAAAACTGGGTATAGAAGGAACATTCATAAACAAAATAAAAGCCACATAAACAGACCCACAGCTAGTATCACACCAAATGAGGAAAAACTGAAAGCCTTTCCTTCAAGATCTGGAACAAGACAAGGATGCTCACTTTCACTAGTTATTCAGCATAATACTGAAAGTCCTAGCGAGGGCAATCAGACAAGAGAAAGAAAAAAAAAGGCATCTGAATTGGAAAGGAAGAAGTCAAATTATCCCTGTTGGCAGATGATACAATCTTATATTTGGAAAAACCTAAAGACTCCAACAAATAACTATTAGGAGTGATAAATGAATTCAGTTAAGTTGCAAGATACAAAATCAACATACAACAATCAGTAGCATTTCTACATGGTGACAGCAAACAATCTGAAAAGGTAATCAAGAAAGTAATCTCGGCCGGGCGCGGTGGCTCACGCCTGTAATCCCAGCACTTTGGGAGGCCGAGGCAGGTGGATCACGAGGTCAGGAGATCGAGACTATCCCGGCTAAAACGGTGAAACCCTGTCTCTACTAAAAATACAAAAAATTAGCCGGGCGTGGTGGCGGGCGCCTGTAGTCCCAGCTACTTGGGAGGCTGAGGCAGGAGAATGGCGTGAACCCGGGAGGCGGAGCTTGCAGTGAGCCGAGATCCCGCCACTGCACTCCAGCCTGGGCGACAGAGCGAGACTCCGTCTCAAAAAAAAAAAAAAAAAAAGAAAGTAGTCTCATTTACTATTGCTACACATGAAATAAATACCTAGGAATAACTTTTACTCAATAAATGAGAGATCTCTACAATGAAAACTGTAGAACATTGATGTAAAAAATTGAAGAGGACACAAAAAATGGAAAGATACTCCATGTTCATTGATTGGAAGAATGGATATTTTTAAAATGTCCATACTACCAAAGCAATCTACAGACAGTGCAATCGCTATCAAAATACCAGTGACATTCTTCACAGAAATAGAAAAAAGAATCCTAACATTTACATGGAACCACGAAAAAAACAGAATAGCCAAAGCTATCCTCAGCAAAAAGAACAAAACTGGAGAAATCACATTACCTGACTTCAAATTATACTACAGAGCTAGTAACCAAAACACCATGGTACAAAGAAAAGAGACACATAGACCAATGGAACAGAATAGAGAATGCAGACATAAATCCACAAATCTACAGTGAACTCATTTTTGACAAAGTTTCTAAGAATGTATATTGGGGAAAAGACCGTCTCTTCAAAAAATGGTGGTGGGAGAACTGGATATCCATATGCATAAAAATGAAACTAAATCCCTTTCTCTCACCATATACAAAAATAAAATCAATATGGATTAAAGACTTAAATCTATGACCTGAAACTATGAAACTACTAAAAGAAGACACTGGAAAAACTCTCTAGGACATTAGATTGGGCAAAGATTTCTTGAGTAATACCCCTACAAGCACAGGGAACCAAAACAAAAATGGACAAATGGATCACATCAAGTTAAAAACCTTCTGGACTGCAGAGGAAACAATCAGCAAAGTGAAGAGACAACCTGCAAAATGGGAGAAAGTATTTGCAAGCTATCCATCTGACATCAGATTAATAACCAGAATATATGAGGAACTCAAACAACTCAATAGGAAAAATCTCCAATTAACAAATGGGCAAAAGATCTGAATAGACATTTCTCAAAAGAAGCTATACAAATGGCAAACAGGTATATGAAAATATGCTCAACATCATTGATCATCAGAGAAATGCAAGTCAAAACTATAATGCGATATCATTTCACCCCAGTTAAAATGGCTTTTAGCCAAAGATAGGCAATAACAAATGCTGGCGAGGATGTGGAGAAAAGAAAACCCTTGTACACTGTTGTACAACTTGTACATTTTTGAGAATGTAAATTAGTACAACCATGATGGAGAACAGTATGGGGGTTCCTCAAAAAATGGAAAATTAAACTACCATATGATCCAGTTATCCCTCTGCTGGGGAAATACTCAAAAGAAAGGAAACCAGTATATCGAACCTGCACTCCCATGTTTCTTGCATCACTATTCACAATAGCCAGGATTTGGGAGCAACCTAAGTGTCCATCAGCAAGTAAATGGATGAAGAAATTATGATACATACACACAATGGAGTACTATTCATCCTTAAAAAAATGAGATCCTGTCATTTGCAACAACAAAAATGGAACTGGAGGAGATTATATTAAGTGAAATAAGCCAGGCACAGAAAGACGAACTTCACATTTCTCACTTATTTGTGGGAGCTAAAAAATTAAAACAATTGGACTTATAGAGATAGTAGAATGACATTTACCAGAGGCCGGGAAGTGTAGTGGGGTGGCAGAGGTAGAAGTGGAGATGGTTAAAGGATACAAAAATATATAGTTAGCTAGAATGAATATCATCTAGTATTTGATCACACAACAGGGTGACTACAGTCAACAACAATTTATTGCACATTTAAAAATAACTAAAAGGGTATAACTGGATTGTTTGTAACACAAAGAAAGGATAAATTTTTGAGGTGATAGATACCCCATTCACCCTAATGTGATTATTATCCATTGTATGCCTATGTCAAAATATCTCATACACCCTGTAAATATATACATCTACTATGTACCACCCAAATTAAAAATAAATTAAAATTAAAATTAAATAAATTTAAAAATAAAACTAAAAAAACCAGGACTATCAACTTGGCTTTATTTAAGTTGAATGTGATGTTAAATCCTCTGGGATAGAATATGGAGAAAAGTAGAAAGAATGGGAGCCCCAAGCCTTGAGGAAGAACTCAACTGTTAGCAATAACTGAAGCCAACCCTCATTGAACATTTACTATTTGCTGGGTCTTGTTCTTGGAGCTTTACATGCAGTAACTCTTTTAATTCTTAAATACACATGAGATTAATACTATTATATATGTGTGTAAAAGTATCTATATATACTTACATATAATTATATTTTATATATAATATATACTTACACACACACTTATATATAGTGTGTGTGTATATGTATAGCTCTGTGAAACCATTTGCAAATTTTTTGAATAGGTTAAGTTATAGCAGATACAACAGGTTGGGCACTGGATATATAAAGATAAACAAAATATAGTACAGTTTTCTAAGACCATAATAATATATGGTATAATAATATTTTTGGTTAAGGGTTTTCAAGCCAAAAAGTAGAATTAGTTACAATGTAATCTCTGCAATATATTAGAAAAACAGCAAAAAAAAAAAAGATCAATATACAGATAGTACCTAACCCATTCTAGGTGCTTAAGAAATTGGATGAATAAATAAAAGACTGAATAATAGAATTTTGTAGGTGAAAAGGGGCTTAGATGTTATCTAGCCTGAACCCATAATTTATAGACATACATGCCCAGGAGGTTGAATTAATGTGGCCATAATGGAATTGCTTGCGGGTTGACAGAGCTGAATTCCTGGGCCAGGAATCCTACTTTTTAGTCTGGTATCTTTTCCACTCTGCTAGTGGTTTTCACACTCTGCCTAAATTGGAAGCAAATGCCAGCACTTGGTCTTTTAAATCTCTTGGATGCTGCCCTGTAAGTTTGATTTTTAGTGTGTCAGGAAGGTCAGGCAAGAGGCACAGCTCTTCAGGCCAGAGGTATATAAACAGCTCACATAAAAAGACTGTAGTTCCTGGAATCATCTCTGTCACCTGCAGTAAGCCCAACTACACTGAGTCACAGCCTTCAGTTTGGGCCAATGCCATAGGGATTTATCATTTAGGCAAAAGATCCAAATTCCCCTTCCCTGCGGTTGATGGAGCTTTCTGCACAAGAAGAGTAGTTTATTGGTTTATTAGAGCTTCTTAAATGGGTAGAAAAGCTAAATGAAAAAAAAACGGAAGTTCCTGGGAAAAACTGTGCTAAATAGGTCAGCAGTGTTACCCTGTCACCTGAAGTTTGAGGCCTAAAAGTGAAAGGATTTCTTACTTGAACAGAAATCCGATGATATTAGAGAAAGTGGCTCTCATTCTGGGTTTATCTTCAGTGTCTGGAATGATGCCTGGCATGAAGTCTCTGTGGAAGACAGTTTGAAAACCACCTTTTCAATATAATTTCAGTTTACCAATTAGGGAATTATCAATGCATCATCAAAGGATAAGACTATACTAATGTATCCATGTTATATATTTTTTATTCATACTGTTCTTAAGTGTTCAGTTATTAAAGTTACTAAATGTACTGAAGTATTTAGGTCAAATAAAAAATCCCTAAATGGTACAGTCTTATCCTTTAAAGTCTTGCTTGGGTTTAGAAAAGGCTTTTCTTGCCAGGTAGAAAGGTCTAATGTATCTCTCTTTAATCTTAAAATATGTGAGACACTTGTATACAAAGTAGGAGAATGGTTGGATGGAATATTTTGATAAATGGTCTGGCTTGTGTAGTAGCTCTGTGAAACCACTCGTAAATTTTTTGAATATGCTAAGTTATAGCAGATACAACAGGTTGGGCACTGGATATATAAAGATAAACTAGATATAGTTCAGTTTTCTATGACCTCACACCAGTGGGAGTGGGAGGAAGAGATAGGTGTAAATAGTCATACTTCTATTTTTGTATGACTTAGTAAGTTGAATCATCTGTCAATTACTACGGAGTTCTATTGCAAGATGAGTCACTCTGCTAGGGGTAAGATGATGTAATACTTTAGTTTATTCATGGAGGAAGAGTATATTCCAGGAGAAAAATTTTGATAAAGGGCATTCCAGTTAGAGAAAGCAGAATGGATAAAGCCTTGAAGGAAGAAAATAGGATAGTTAGGGAACAGTAAACTCTTCGGTGTGCTTACAGCCAGGGCTACACAGAAGTGAGCAAAGCTGGTGAAGATGGGGATGGGGGAGTGGAGTGAGTTGACGCTAGAAAGGGATGTAGCAAATGTAACTATTATTCCAGAATCCAAGTGTGCAAAAATCATAACTTTTATTTTGTATAACATAATTTCTATTTTGAGTCCCTCTTCAGTAAATGTGGCAAAAACCCAATCTCAGTTATTTTGGGGTAGCTCTCACCTTTCCCTGGGGTGTGTCTTGGAGGCCAACATAGTTTCAGATGAGTGAGAAGGCCAAGTGTTGTTCAGCATCATCATCTACATAGGCATTCCGTCAAGCTCTCTCGTCCTCCTCTCTTAGAAGCTTTGATGTCATTCTGTTCCTTCCGTGTCTCTCTAGGTCCAAGGAGATTCTTGGAAGCTGTTCTAAAGCCGTCCCTTCAACTCACTACATATTTCCTTTTCTGAGGTCTTGCTCTAGGGTCTGCTTAGGTGGAAGGAGGCAGGCTTCTTTTACCTGGACCCTCCAGTGCCTATGTAGTCAGCAATTCTCAACTACTTATTTTCTTCTCAGCATGTGGAAAATATTTTTTCAGTCTAAAGGGTGGAGCTTAATCTCATGAAATTTAAACAAAATATTCTGTCATGCTCAGTTTCCTCTCCAACCCTCAAAGGCATAGGCTTTGGGAACATTTTATATATATATATCGTGTAGGTTTCTTCTTGGCTTTTATTACATATATAAATTTTTTTAATGCAGCAGCAGCTCTCTCTGAAGACAGTGACTGCACAGTGCTCTAGCTACTGAAATGAGGAGATAGGTGTGGGGGTAAAGGAAATATCTGGTAAATCATTGTTGGTACTTTAAACATATTTTCTTTCATGTGTATATTGTGGCAAGATTGCAAAAGAACTAATATGATGTATCATGGATCTTGATCTTTATCCTTTATGCAGTGGACTGTCATTGAAGGTTATCAATGGAAGCACTATGATTATACTTTTGCTTTCAAATATAAAATCTGGGGACAATATGAAGACCTAACTGGGGTAGAAAGATTAGTTACAGTAGTCTTGTTACAGGAGAGGTAAGAAATGATGGGGACTTGAACCAGAGCATTAACTGTGAAGAGGGAGAGGATTTGAATAGCTCTAGATATATTTTGGAGTCACTGAAGCTGTGGAAGTGGCTGAGGTCAGCCTGGAGCCTGCATAGAGTTCTGGGAAACATCAGTGTGTAGGAAAGAGGGAGAGCATAAGGGGTCAGTAACTGAGACTAAGGGAGAAGCATCAGAGTGGTGGAAGTAGGAGAACCAGGATAATGAGGTCCTACAAACTGGTGATAACCTTCAATGACAGTCCACTGCATAAAGGATGATGGTTTTATTAATGGGAGTTCCCCTGCATGTGCCCTCTTGACTGTCGTCATGTAAGACATGCCTTTGCCCCTCCTTTGCCTTCTGCCATGATTGTGAGGCCTCCCCAGCCATGTGGAACTATGAGTGCATTAAACCTCTTTTTCTTTATAAATTACCCAGTCTCAGGTATGTTTTTATCAGCAGCATACGAATAGACTAATATAGTTACATAGGTAAATGTGTGTCATGGGGTTTTTGTGTAGAGATTATTTCATCACCCAGGTATTAAGCCTAGTACCCACTAGTTATTTTTCCTGATTCTCTCCCTCCCCCCACCCTCCACACTCCAAAAGTCTCCAGTGTGTGTTGTTTCCCTCTGTGTGTCCATGTGTTCTCATCATTTAGATCCTACTTATAAGTGAAAACGTGGTATTTGGTTTTCTCTTCCTGTGTTAGTTTGCTAAGGATAATGGCCTCCAGCCCCCTCCCTGTCCCTGCAAAGGACATGATCTCATTCTTTTTTATGGCTGCATAGTATTCCATGGCATCTATGTACCACATTTTCTTTATCCAGTCTGTCATTGATTGGCATTTAGGTTTATTGCTTTTGTGAATAGTGCTACAATGAACATATGCATGCATGTGTCTTTATAATAGAATTATTTATACTTCTTTGTTGAATGCCCAATTTTTATTTTGACTGGTACACTTTGAAAGGTGAAGCACAAATAAAAGGAACTTGGTGCTAGACTTGTTTTCTATGTATTTTGATGGCTGAAGCTATAGGTATGGTGTAATTGGACATACAAACATAAAGGAGGCAATTTTGACCTTGAACAAAATTTTTTACTTTTTGAGCTATTTAGAAATGACTGTAGACTTAGAAGACATCATTGCTGAAGAACATTTATTTAAATTATCTTGGTTTCTTATCTTAAGAATTGAGAAAACTGGTAGAAACAATGAGTAGAAAACAGATATTTAGTTAGACTTGAAAACTGGTCTTCATTTGGTAGTGACATACTGGCAACAATTAATACTATATAGAGACATTTCCTGGTAAATACAGAAGATACATAATGTAAGCTTTCCCAAGATTGATTTGGAGAAAAATCCTCACCTGACTATTCAATGTCCTGTTTCATTTTTGAAAACGTGGAGCAGAAGAAATCTCACAACTGATTTAAATAAAAATTCAATCTGAAAAAGTTTATTGTTGTATTGACATAAGGCAAAGCAGTCAAGAATCCCTCTTGCATGTTTTTCTAAGCTTCTGCATCTCTTTGTTTCTTCCTTACCTTCTGTCTTACCCTTTAATGGAGTTTTCTCCAGGATTCTGTGCTTGGCCTGCTGTTTTCTCCCTATCTGCTGGCCTGTCCTTATGGGTAAGGAGAGATGGATTTAGCTATGGCCTCTAGCACATGAATCCTAAATCTTTAGATCTGAACTGTCTCTAAAACTGGAAAGTTACGGTCTGAATACTTATTGGACATCTTCAATTGAATGTGCCAGGCACTGCAAAACAAAAATGTTCAAGACCAAACTAATAATCTCTCCTCTGACCAGGGTAGCTCTTTTTGCTGACTTCTTATTTCCCACCATGACACTAGCATTCTCCAAATGCTTAGGCTTGATGTTTTGATCATTTTTAAAATTTTTACTCTCTCTACTTATATTCTATCAGTTGCTAAGTCCTGTAACTTCTTCCTCTATAAGTCTCATAAGTATTTGCTTTCTTTTCTATTCTCATTTAGACTCTCTTTCCCTACATAGTTATAGTAGCTGAAGTCCCTTAGTCTCTCCACATTCCAGTTAATCGTATACATTGCTGGTGGCTAAACTCTCGTAGAACATACTTCTAATTATATCCTATTTTGCTCAAAACTGTCGAACAACTGCTGGTCTGTTTTCTTGCACCATACCTGCAGGACCCAGATTATCTTTCCAGCTACATAACCACCTCCCTCCATCCACACAACACACTTCCTACCCCTGTCAAAAACAGGCTTACCCATTCTTCAAACTTGCCGTTGACTTTTGTCCATATTGTTCACTTTGCTAGAAATAGTTTTTCCCCTCTTTTCCATACCAGTTGAAATCAGACTCAACTGAAACAGGCCCTTTCATTTTAACATAACTTTTTGCAGTCTCGATTGTGATAATTTATCCTAGAAAATATTTACTCTTTGTACATTTATAACATATGTGTATAAGTATGTTTAACACAGCATTGCTTGTAACAGTAAAATATTGGAAACAAGTGAAATAGTTGCAACATTGAAAAAATAGATACACACATATATATACTGACAGGAAAAAATTTGGCCACTAAATGTAAACTATGACTCCATTGTTAAAAAATAAGTGTGTGTGCTTGTGTGTATATACATGCGTACATAAAATCTGAAAATGTACACACAAAAATGTTGAATTGTGCTCGTGTGTGTATATGTGTCTGAGTGTGTGTGTGTGTGTCTGTGTGTTAGGGGTAAAGTTATGAAATACTTTTATAATGTACTTTTTATCCAAAAATGTTAGCATTTGCTAATATTGGGTGATGAGCTCACTGGTGTTTATTACACTGTTCTTTGTATTTGATATTTTTAAATAAGAATAAAACTGGAAAAATGCTAAGATTTTAAATATATACCTTAGTACCAAGTACTCAATGGCATTTATCAGGACAAAAGATTTTTCTTTAGTGGGATCTTGGAGTGATATTCCAAAAAATATTTTAATTCAAGGACACTGATATTTCTGCTGACAGACTACCTCTTACCAAATGTGGGTTTCTTCTTGCAAATAAACATCACTGAGTTGGTGTATATGTGGTTGCACACAGTCAGCAGAGAAGTATTTGAATGAATGCCATAATGCTTACACACAATTAAAACTGAGTCAGTTCGACCTATTTTTATGTAAATCATTAAATGAAATGAGTTTGATTCATTTTTACATGTTTATTTTTAATGGAGACTAAAGAGACATAAATGGTATGTTTGTTTTGTGGTGGTCTAGGTGATATCAATGATACAGGGTTCTTCATGAATCTGGAGGAAGACATGACCAGGTAATTAGACATTCTCCTTACTATTGTTAAGTTTTTCTATATTCATCAAGTTGTAGAAATGTTTAAAACTTTGCATTATCATCACAGAAATTTTAAGGAGAACAATACTCTTGATAGTTTTTAGAAGAGTATATGTAGACTTTTTAAGAAAAGAATTGGCTGCATAAAGTATACAAAAGTTAGAGTTAAGCTTAAAATGGACATATATGCATTGATCAATGTAGAATATCATATTAATATATAAGGAAATTAGAGGAGTTTAAGGTAGTCTTTTAAAATGCAGTTGAATTAAGAATCATTATTTTCTATAATATATATGTGCCAGGTGTGGTGGCACATAGCTACAGTCCTAGCTACTTGGGAGGCTGATGTGAGAGGATTGCTTGAGCCCAGGAGTTCAAAGCTGCAGTGAGCTATGATCACATCACTGCACTCCAGCCTGGGGGAAAGAGCAGGACCCTGTCCCCCACACCCCCCCACAAAAAAAGAGAGAGACAGAATAATTATTTTCAATGGCTTATAATTATTAATTTGTTTCCTGGATGTTTTCATACGACATGACAATGAAAGCAGCCAAAAGAAATTTTTTTTAAACTCAACATCTGATTCTGAACAATAAAATAAAACATCCCAGAAAAAATACAGTCTCTCTATTCTTAACTCACACTGGGGAAGCTTTTGGTTAATGATTTACATATCTTGAAGTTTATTCTCCAGAACAGCTTATAACAGATGTCCAAAGGTACGTGTAGGTGAATCAGAAGAAAATGATTTTACATTACTGTGTAAATGATCTGGGTACATTTGAAAAAAATAGATTTTTTTTTTTTTTTTTTTTTGAGACAGAGTGTCACTCTGTCCCCCAGGCTGGAGTGCAGTGGTGCGATCTCGGCTCACTGCGACCTTCGATTCCTGGCTTCAAGCGATTCTTGTGTCTCAGCTTCCCAAGTGGCTGGGATTACAGGCGTGTGTCACTACACCCAGCTAATTTTTGTATTTTTAGTAGAGATGGGGTTTCACCATGTTACCCAGGCTGGCCTTGAACTTCTGACCTCAGGTGATCCACCCACCTTGGCCTTCCAAAGTGCTGGGATTACGGGTGTGAGCCGCCATGCCCTGCCGAAAATGGAGACACTTTATCATATTTTGAAAGCTGAGGACCAAATACCTCCAAATATTCCTGTGGAGAGGCATTGTTTTTTACATTGGGGAAAATGAAACAGAATGTCTTTTAATCATCATGTACATGCTTTTGAGTAAACATACACTGACAGTTTAAAATACATTAACTTATTCTCAAAGCATGAGTTTTCCTTGTGATGTGGGGTTTCTATTAGCTATCTCTTGCTATATAATGAACACTTAGATAGAATACTATCTCTTGTTGTATCATGAACACTTAGATAGTAATTAGTTATTGAGTTATCTGTTAACTAAAACTTAGTGTTCTAATTACATCTTCCTTGATAAATGCATTGTAAGTTACAAGGTAGAGTTTGGGGAAAACTTGTTTCCCAAGATTCCTGATGGGCTGAGTGCTGAATTGTGAACAGCAATGTCAGAGACTGTCTGCTTGTTACCTAGCCATCTTTATAGCTTCTGCATGATTCAAACACACAGTTTAATTTGAAGATGGTAAGTAGTGAAGTTTAAAAAGTGGGAATATTGGAATACTGTATTTTATTTTAGAATGTTTGCCTTTAACCTAAAAATTAATTGTTTAGTGAAGCCCAAGAATTGTTTGCATTTTTTTTTTTTGAGATGGAGTTTTACTCTGTCACCCAGGTTGGAGTGTAGTGGCACGATCTCTGTGCACTGCAACTTCTGCCTTCAAGCGATTCTCCTGCCTCAGCCTCCTGAGTAGCTGGGATTACAGGTGTGCACCACCACACCCGGCTAATTTTTATTATTATTATTATTATTATTATTGTCGTATTTTTAGTAGAGACGGGATTTCACCACTTTGGTCAGGCTGGTCTCGAACTCCTGACTTCATGATCCGCCCACCTTGGCCTCCCGAAGTGCTGGGATTACAGGTGTGAATTGTTTGCTTTTCTTTTTTTTTTTTTGAGATGGAGTCCAGCTCTGTCACCCAGGCTGGAGTGCAGTGGCACGATCTCGGCTCCCGGCAACCTCTGCTTCCTGGGCTCAAGCGATTCTTCTGCCTCAGCCTCCCAAGTAACCAAGTAGCTGGGACTACAGTCGCACGCCACCACGCTTGGCTAATTTTTTTGTATTTTTTGTAGAGACAGGGTTTCATCATATTGGCCAGGGTGGTCTCCAACTCCTGACCTTGTGATCTGTCTGCCTCGGCCTCCCAAAGTGCTGGGATTATAGGCGTGAGCCACCACGCCTGGCCTGTTTGCTTTTTTAAATATGAAAACTCAGAGCAAGGAAACATTAATTCAGGATTTCTAGATTGATTAAGGGTCTGTTTTTTAAGACAATACTCGTGTTTTTTAATGCTAGAATTTAAATTGGAAGGGCCACTATTTGATTCGTTAAGCATTTTAGGATAACTCACGATGGCCAGTTGGGCAAATGAAATAAAACTACTTTTTAAAAATTTCATTTGTCTCTTGGCATCTAAACTCTACTAGATTAATAGCCCAAGGGATAATCCCTAGCCCAAAAGGCCAAGGGATTATTTCCATTTCTTGATCCCACTTTCTGACAAGTTCTGTCACTTCTTTTCATCCCCAATGTACAGAGACCAACCCAATGCACTTATCAACTGATGCTGATGTAATAAAAATATTACAGTGGTGGGTCTTACCTGATGCTGTGATTCCCCAATATACCACACCATCTTTCACAGTAACTGGCATTCTCTGAGTGCTTACTATGTGCTGGGCACTGGTCCAAGTATATTTCATGCATGAGTATTTTTATCTCTGTTTTACTAATTAGAAAACTGAGGCTTAGAAAAGTTAAGCAGCTTGCCTAAGATTACATAACAGTGAAGTGAAGAGCTGGGATTTGAGCCAAAGCAGAAATCATTCTTAACCATTCCACCATATTGGTGCAAACATAGTTGGATGGTGACTATCAACTCTGCTTGTTACAACCCCTTCTTATTTGTTAAGGATGGCGAGATACCCAGATAAGTGAAAAAATAGGAATGAGTGGTCTCTTTGGAAAAGGTACATTGATTAGGAAACAGAGAGCATGTGCAGTGTTCTTGTTGTTTTTCAGGTATGCCTATTATTACAGTGGAATTGGTGCTGGGGTGCTGGTTGCTGCTTACATTCAGGTTTCATTTTGGTGCCTGGCAGCTGGAAGACAAATACACAAAATTAGAAAACAGTTTTTTCATGCTATAATGCGACAGGAGATAGGCTGGTTTGATGTGCACGATGTTGGGGAGCTTAACACCCGACTTACAGAGTAAGTATTTAGTTTTATGTTGAACTTGGGTGTCGTTCTTATCCTTAGTAAAATGAAATAGATGTCATCACATCTGTTAGGAGGTGTTAATGTATCATTCAAAGGTACTTATGAGACAAAATTCCTTCTAAGCAGCAACAATGTCGTGTGCATCCTTTTGTTCCCAGTGCCTTGACAGGGTATGGGGGGACCTGCATGACTAGCATTAAATGAAGGACTGGGCTTTGCCAGAATGAAGAAATCCTCTGAGAATGTGCAGTAGAGCAAAACAAGATACTTTCTGAGGAAATTTCTGAGCAATTTGAAATTCCTAGGTTGAATACTTCTTGTGTACACGATGTCCATTTCCTGGGGCCATGTGGGCTATGGATTTTTGTTGTTAATGACAAATATCCTAGTAGAAACTTCTACCCTGCTAAATAAAACAAAGCATAGGCACAAAATACTCTAGCCATAAACTACCCTACACTCAAAACAGGCTTCACGAGAAAAGTTGATGTTTACAATTCTGACAATTATTTCTAACACTATCTGTTCTTTCAGTGATGTCTCCAAGATTAATGAAGGAATTGGTGACAAAATTGGAATGTTCTTTCAGTCAATGGCAACATTTTTCACTGGGTTTATAGTAGGATTTACACGTGGTTGGAAGCTAACCCTTGTGATTTTGGCCATCAGTCCTGTTCTTGGACTGTCAGCTGCTGTCTGGGCAAAGGTAGGTGAAGCCTGTGAATCCAGATTTTGAACTGCACCTTCTCCCTTCCTGCTCTCACCCTACGGAAAGGTCTTTTTACTACATGATGACTCTGATTCTGTACTTGTTACTTTTACGTTTTCTGTTCAAAATCAGCTGGATAAGCATATCCAGCCTCACTGAGTACTACCCCTGCCAAGACTCCATGCTGTTCTTGGCCATGTGATTATTTGGGGAAGGGATGAGAAAGAAGAATGTAGCTCTCATATCTACCTTCTGCCTTTGTAAGAAAACGAGCAAGTAAACAAACAAAAACAAAAACAAAACAAAAAAAAAAAACTTGAACTCCAAAGAACCATGCTCTCTAGTGGATGATGCCCCATTCACACGGCAAGTAGAGACTCAAGTTTAGTGAACTACAGATGTCCCATTCAATTAACATTTTTTTTTACTTTAATGTTTTTGGCTTTCTAGATTTTTGTTTAAGTTTTAAATTGATTTTACAGTTTTGTCAGCATTCAAACACAGTTAAATTTTTGGTTATAAAATAATTTAAGAAAACAGATACTTTCTAGTCCCTAAGGATGCATATAAATCCTTGGCCTTCAGCTCTCTCTCCTGTCATGAAGGCAGAGAGGTAGAAGTGGCCCTCTCTACCCCAGCACACGTTTCCAGTGATCTTTTAAAACTTATTTTCCATTTCAAGGTGAACATGGTGTTAATTTTAAACTGATTTGATATGAGTGTATTTTCAGTAGAGAAATTGGCCCAGTATGTAATTTTTGTGGAGTTCAACACAACTCAGATAAGGCAATATAAATTCATGTAGCAAAAGTAATGAATGGACAACCAAAACCAAGCATCACACAAAATAAGTCAGGTAGTAAGTATTAAGAAACTGTAGAAATTTTAACCTGTATAATGGATATTATTTTGTTTCTGCAAATAATAATTATCATTTATTGAGCATTTATTGTCACGCAAATGCCTGTGTTATCTTTCTGAAGTATAGGTATTATCTCACTTTACAGAGAAAGAAACTGAAGTTCTCAGGTCTCTGTTAATTTTTTGCTCAGAGTAACATAGAGTTCAAATAATGTTTCTGGGGATTATCAGTTAACTAAAATATTTGGCAAAAGCTTCTTGTCAATTGATTTTTCTGTATACTAGAATGTTAAGCAAGTTAGGTGGCAAACTCTTCACATCAGTATTTGTTGAAAAATTACTTAAAATGTTTTGATGTCTGTTTTAAGATTAAAAACAGACCATGAGTTAATCTTTTAATGATTAATTATGCATTGCTTCACATGCCATTTATTTAGTAAAAGGAGCCCCAGGCTGGCTGCTAGAGACCTAAGCTTTAATCCTCACTCAGCATTACACTTTTGGTATCATTTCAAACAAATTTCTTAAATTCTTTGGATGTCAATCATATCAAAAAAGAAATGTAGTTCACTCTGTGTCTGGGAAGCCTCTTTGTGTCTGTGAGCCTGAGGCTCTACCTTCAAACCTAGAGACACAGAAGCAAATAGATATAGCAGAAAGGGACCCAATCACAGCAAGTGACCTGGCCCAGGAAGCCTCTTTTGTACTTTGTGCCCAAGACTGTCTTCCCAGCGCCCAGAGACACTGGGCCACTAGAGGGCATTGGTACAGGAAACCACCACACTCTTCCCGACCTGGCAGTCTGATCTTGAAAAACCACTTTCACTCCCTCAAGCAGCAGAAGCAGGGGCCAGTGGGAGCCCCAGAAGCTTCACATAAATCAAGCCGACCAAAATAATACTACAAACACTCTGAATATTAAACCGCTCCTGGAACCACAGCTCACAAAAGTAGACCAATACTATCATGCTAAACTTCAATGGAACAACTGCCGGCTAGAGTAAGGCAGGTTTATTTTATTTTAACTTTTTAAAACTTTTATTTTAAGTTCAGGGGTGTAAGTGCAGGTCTGTTCCATAGGAAACTTGTGTCATGGGCATTTGTTATACAGATTATTTCATTACCCAAGTATTAAGCCTAGTACCCATTAGTTATTTTTAATGACTGTCTCCCTCCTCCCACTCTCCACCCTCTAATAGGCCCCAGTGTGTGTTGTTCCCCTCTATGTATCCATGTGTTCTCATCATTTAGCTCCCACTTATAAGTGAGAACATGCAGTATTTAGTTTTCTGTTCCTGAGTTAGTTTGCTAAGCATAATGGCCTCCAGCTCCATCCATGTCCCTGCAAAGGACATGATCTCATTTTTTTTATGGCTGCATAGTATTCCATGGTGTCTATGTACCACATTTTTTTTTTATCCAGTCTATCATTGATGGGCATTTAGGTTGATTCCATCCTTGTTTTGTGCCAGTTTTCAAGGGGAATGCTTCCAGCTTTTGCCCATTCAGTATAATGTTAGCTGTAAGTTTGTCATAGATGGCTTTTATTATTTTGAGGTGTGTTCCTTTAATACCTTGTTTGTTGAGAGTTTTGATCATGAGTGGATGTTGCATTTTATTGAAAGACTTTTTGCATCTATTGAGATAAGCAAGTGCTTTTGTTTATGTGATGAATCACATTTATTGATTTACATCTGTTGAGCCAAACTTGCATCCTGAGGATAAAGCCTACTTGATCATGGTAGATAAGCTTTTTGATGTGCTGCTGAATTCAGTTTGCCAGGATTTTGCTGAGGATATTTGTATCATATTTGTTCATCAAGGATACTGGCCCAAAGTTTTTTTGTTGTTGTATCTCTGCCAGGTTTTGGTATCAGGATTATTCTGGCCTCATAGAATGGGTCAGAGAGGAGTCCCTCCACCTAAATTTTTTGGAACATTTTCAGTAGGAATGGTATCAGCTCTTCTTTTTACATTTGGCAGAATTCAGCCATGAATTCATCTGGTCCTGGGCTTTTTTAGGGGGTGGTAAGCTATTATTACTGCCTCAATTTCAGAACTCTTTATTGGTCTGTTCAGGGATTTTATTTCTTCCTGGTTCAGTCTTGGGAGGATGTATGTGTTCAGTAATTTATCCATTTATTCTAGATTTTCTAGTTTATGTGCACAGAAGCATTCATAATATTCTCTGATGGGATCCTTGTGACTGAATTGTTCTGCATCATGACTGTGTTGTGTACTACCATGTCCAGCTAGTTTTTAATTTTTTTGTAGAGATGGGGTTTCTATGTGTTGCCCAGGCTGGTCGTGAACTCTTGGCCTCAAGTGATTCTCCCACTTGTCACCCCAAAGTCCTGGGACTATAGGTGTGAGTCATCACACCTGGCCTTTTCATATCCTTGATAATAGGATAGGTTAGAGGGTCTTTTTTTTTTTTTTTTTCTTTTCACAGACATGATCTCCTGAAAAACACAACACTTAATGAAGATTCAACCATACTTTTGTCTGCTTATAATGATGGAAGGTCATAGAAGGAAAAGGGAGCTAGATTTGTAGAATTCATTGTGGTGTTTGATATATTAATAATAAATTAAAATAACATTTTTAAACACTCCTAACTTTAAAGTATTTCTTTAAAGTATCACTTTGAAGTGATCTTCCTATTTTTGGTTGTCTCCATTGTGGCAATTGTTGTGGCACCATGAGGTTTCAGAAGGAGCAGAAAAACATTCCTAAAGCATGTTGTATGAGCCTCCTCTATTCTACAGATGTTTGTTAAGGGATGGCGCTGGCCACCCTATCTCAGACCTCCTACCGTGAATGGTTCTGCAAATATGGTGGGACAGCCCCAGGAAGATTGCTTTGAGAAGTCAGGAATGTCTAGTGAATCAATGGAATATTATTTTGGGTACTAAAGAGGCTAGGTACGTGCAGCACAATGTCTGCACTTAGAACATAACTAATCAATGTTCATTTGCCTTCATCCACCCATTCCTCTAGCTGTCATAGCTCCTTTTACTTTCACACACAGGAAAGGGAGAAATCCACTGTCAAAACCCAAACAACTTTGAGCTTTTTATGCCAAGAAGGGATAGATCAATGTTACTTACATAAATGAGTCCACAAGTGCCTATGAATTTTTTATTGAAAGAATATAATTCTATTTAATCAGAATTTTTAAAATAAATTGGTTTTGTGTAATTTTGGGGGAGGGGTGGGGAGAACAGGGTCTCACTCTGTTGCCCAGGCTGGACTGCAGTGGCACAACCACTGCTCACGGCAGCCTCGTCCTCCTAGGCTCAAACGATCCTCCCACCTCAGCCTCCTGAGTAGCTGAGACAATAGGCATGTGCCACCACACCTAGCTAATTTTTAATTTTTTTGTAGAGGCGGGGTCTTGCCATGCTGCCCAGGCTGGTCTAGAATTCCTGGGCTCAAGCAATTATTCATCTTTGGCATCCTAAAATGTTAGGATTACAAGTGTGAGCCACCACACCTGGCCTGTCATGTGTAATCTTTATTTAGGTAGTTGACCACTTCAGCATTCTAGGTACAATAACGTTAGCCCTTTTCCCATTGCAATTGATCCAGCTTTCATAATAGGACCCTCTGGGACCCAAGTTCATGCATCAGTGGCTGGTTTCAGGGAGAGGTTTACTTCAGTGGCTGTTAATACAGACCAAAGGCAAGTAAAAGACAGATTTTGCTCTACACATGCATTAATGTATAAGCAGCATTTATGTATACATTTATTTTTACTTTACAAAAGATAAAATTAACGTGTTTTTTTCATGATCCAAAATTGTATTTTTAAACAGATACTATCTTCATTTACTGATAAAGAACTCTTAGCGTATGCAAAAGCTGGAGCAGTAGCTGAAGAGGTCTTGGCAGCAATTAGAACTGTGATTGCATTTGGAGGACAAAAGAAAGAACTTGAAAGGTTTGAGTTTCTTTTTTAAATGGATAGATATGTTAAATTCTGTCTTCTCAAATGCCCTTCAGATTGACAGTGTTATTTATAAGCATTTTCTCCCATATATATGTTTTCTTAAATAGCTTAATGGATGTATTACAGCATAACTAATATTTTGGAGAAGTTGCAATTCTAATTGTACTTTTCTTTTATCTGCTAATTCAAAGAGTTTTCTAGATGGGCAATAACATAAAAATAGTTTCCAAAGACTGAAATGTATTTTATACCTCTGATTTTTTTCCTCTATCAAGTTAATTAGTGATTCTCTAATATTGACTGAGTATTTTGTGTAAGATCTATGGGGACATTTTAATCCGTGGTTCATTTTCCTTTCTGCCCCTATTCAGCTGACATATGCTACATGATTTGGAAGATAAAAATATAACCAAAAAGCACTTATGTGTACAAAAGTTCAAAATCTTTTATATTATGTGTTGTTTAGTATTATGCTTACAACTGTTCCCTTTTATTAGATTTCTGAAAGCATAGATGGTAATTTATTGAAATTTAGAATATAAATCAGATTACTGATTTCTAAGCAGCAACAGATTTTATGTAAAATTGAATATAAATTATAATATTCTGATGCTATAACACTTCAATCTTATGAATATAAATATCTTTGAAGGTATGAAAAAGTAAACTGTATTGGTTAAGGGGGTTATACATTGTTTGGTACAGCCATGAAGAAAACCAAGGGAATTTTCAGAAATCAGAATAATGGTTAGCTCTAGGGAAGATGAGAAGTTGTGTAAGGAGAGCCGAACACACAGCAGGGGATTCTGTGGTTCTGGCAGTGTTCTGTTTCTTGATCTCAGGTATACTTACATGAGTATTCATTGCATAATTTTTTTAACTGTGCATATGTGTTTGGAGTACTTTTGTTCTATGGTATATTCACACATATAAATATATGTCTTCTGAGAATAATTTATAATGGTTAAGTGCCATAGTTCAAAGGAAAGCAATATCTATGTTCCATTTTGATTTTTGCTAAAGTCTTTGCTTTTGCTTTAAAAGATGTCTGGCTAATAAAATGAGGAGTCCTGCTTAATGACTGAGCAAATATTCAATGAAATAAATCCCCGGCTCTCATGGAGCTTAAATTCTAATGGGGGTGGTAAGGTTACAGACAACCACAAATAATCAAATAGGTAATACACCAGTTGGGGTAAATATTATTTGGGGAAATAAAATAAGAGAATCATGAGGATACTATTTAGATAAGTTATTCAGAAAAATATTTTCTGATTAGTTGATATTTGAGCAGAGACATAATGAAGTTTTGAGTTTGGAATTCTTTTCCAGTTTTCCTCAGAGAAAAGGTGGACCAGAAAAATAATATGCCCAACAGCCCAACAGCATTGGAAGACAGACAAAACTTAACAGCTTCTTCCTGGTTTCTCAGCTGGAGGAAAACATCTCCCCATAGAAGTTAGATTCTCAGGCCTGACTGCTATCTGCAGATGGGGTCTGAATTTATACTACTCTGTGAAGTAGGAAACAATCTCTCTCCAAAGCTGAGGATTTCACATTAAAAATGAGTCCTAATCCAGTGATACCAGAGTATCTGGTAGAAGAAATACAAAATTATTGAAAATTAAAGAACTAAACATCTAAATCAAGAAGTTAGGGAAAGAAAAATAAAATATTAGAAGGAAATAATAAGGGTAAGAGCAAAAATTAATTTAATAGAAAATAAAGGCAAAAGAGTGGAAGATTGACATATCCATAAACTAATTCTTTAAAAAGACTTATAAATAACTATTTTATATGTTTAATCAGGAACAAAAAAAGAATGAATAGGGAAAACTTGTAACAGATTAAAAAATCTATTTTTAAATTGCAGCTTTATACCAATAAATTTAAAAACCCTCATGATATAGATAATATGCTAGAAAAATGTAGGTTAAAACTCTCACTTAAGAAGGAGAAGATCTGAGTAAACCCATAATCGTTAAAATAATTGAATTCAAAGTTAAAAATCTCCATTTTCCACTGCTTCTCTCCCACAAGCAGAAATCACAAAACAAGTCTGGATAATTTTGTAGGCAAGTTCTACCACAACTTCAAGAAAGAGATAACCCTATCTTACATAAATTGTTGTAGAAAATGGAAAAAAAAAGTTGTGAGTTCATTTTATGGGGCTAGTGTAACTTTGATACTATATTACCAGGCAGATATAATATGAGAAAGGAAAACTAAAGGACAGTTTCACCTAAAACATAGATGCAGAAATTATAAATAAATAAATAATTAGCTAAATAAATCCATGTGAAAAATACCAAATTGAAAACATCCTGAACATGTTGGCTTTATCCTATGAATGGAAAGATGGTTTTAACATTAGGAAATCTATTAATATAATTAACCATATTAATAGACTAAAAGAAAAAATTTGTTGTGATGTAAGGGGAAAAGCATGAATTATATATGATTCATGACAAAAACTCGTAAAACTAGGAATAAGAAACAACCTTCTTAATATATTAGAGACCCGCAGGAAACATTTAGTGGTGAAACATTAAAAATATTTTAACACTTAAAATAATGAATGAAATAAATACATACTATTTTGTCTGTCAATTTAAAAAATAAAAAACAAATAATGAATGAGGCAAATGTGTTTACTATCATTTCTATGTACTGTTGTACTAGTACTAGATAATAAGACCAATAAAACAAATAAGAGTAAGAATGAAAAAAAGAAAACGAAAAAGAAAAACAGTAAGTATTGGAAAATAGGAAGAAAACTGTCGTTATTCACAGACGATAAGATTGTCTACACAGAAATTCCAGTAGGTTTTATAAGCTAACAAAATACAATAAGATCTCTGGGTACCTATCATTATTCAGAATAAATGGCATTCCTGTAAACCAGGAATGAACAATTAGAAAATATATAGTATTTCATCCATTCAGAATGAATCCATCATCTCTGAAATGGAAATAAACCTAACAGTCAGTGCCATCTTAAATTTGCTATGGATCTGGATTGAAGTCCAATTCTATCAGGCAGGATTTATGTTTGCTTCTGCTATTCACCAAGGGCACTGCTAACCTGAGACCACCTTACATTAAATTATGTGTCTAGTTGTTTTTGGACAACACTGGTAGTGTGAATTCATGCTCAGACCTGCATGAGTCCTACTTTGTGGTCCAGATTCTCAGGGAGGTTTTTTTCCTTCCTTCACCTGGTTGGTGCCAAGACTGAGACATGCAAGTTCTGCTGTGTGTTGCTTAATATACTGAGGTATAGCCCTTTGAGTCCTAGCTGCATATGGAATGTTCTATTAAACTCATTTCTTAATGCTTTATAAAATGACAGAATACCAGTACTTGCTACAATTAAAGACATCTTAAATTTGAGGAACTGACAATATTTTTAAGGACATTATTAGCAACAAAAACTATAATGATGGATGGAATAAAACCTGAGAAGGAGGAAATGGACATTGTGGGAGTGAAGCCCAACATTTGTAACTTAGATAAATCTGATATTTTAGTTCACTGAAAGTTTAAAGGGATTCAGATTTAATGGAGTGCTTTAATTAGTTAGATATGAAAATATTTTTCCTAGCAAAAATGATCAAATTTTAATTAGAAGAATAAACAAATGGACTTACACAGCTATATCCAGAGATTCCTATATTTGCTCTAAGTAGTATTTTACATGTGGAATCATTTCTTCAGAAAATATAAGTTACTTGAATGTATCTTTGAAAGGGCAGTCTCCTTCAGAGAACTGAAACTAATTTTGCTTGGAGATCAAGAATTGACGTAAGACTACAAACTGATGGCCTAATGTCCTTCCCAAGTTGGCCATTTCTTTAAAGTTTATTTATTTGACAAATTTATTCAGCACCTACAACATGCCAGGCACTGTGCTAGGTTCTAGGTTTTCCTTTTCTTTTCTTTTTTATTTTATAAAGTTCTAAACAAAGCTAGGGCTCTAGGTTTTCAGCTGTGAATCAGAAACAGAGGTTATTTTGTGATCTTCAGTCAAAATAGTAAAATGGATAAAAATGGAAGGAATGGAGAAAGGGAGGAAGAAATATAAGGAATCGTCAAAGAAAAAAATAAAAATATTGATTTAAAAATGTGATCTGAAAGAATCAAAGAGTGTGAGGATGATGAATGGTCAAGTTAACTTTAAATACGGTGGTTGGGGCAGGCCTCTTTGAGGAGGTTTCATCTCAGCTGAGACCTGAGGGATGAGAAAAAGCAAGCCATGGTGGGAACAGAGATGGGATGGGTTTGAAGAAGAGTCTTCCAAGTTTCCTGGGGTGGCCAAGAATTTAGTATGTTCTAGGAAACGTCATAAGGCTTGCATGACTGAAGCTCAGTTGAATGAGGGGAGATTGGGGTGGGCAGGGGCCAGAATGTGGGGATGATGGGCCATGATGAAGAGTTAGGATTGTATTCTAAGGGCACAGGGGAGTGGTTGAGGGTGTTAAAAAGAGGAATGACTATCCACGTTATGTTTTCAGATTGTTTGTCTGTAATGGGTCTCATGAATGGATGCGAGAAGTCAAAGGGTGGAAGCAGGGAGACCAGTGGGGAGGCCGGCAGAATGGTCCAGGCCAGAGCATCTCCCTGATCTGGAGCAGAGGCAGGAGAGGGGTGACAGGTACCTAGATTTGGGATATAACTTGAAAGTAGAATTGATGACTATTCTTAGACCAGACATAATCAGTTTTCTTTCCTGTTCTTCTCCTTCCCTTCTCTGCTTCTACATAAAGTAATTGAGGTCTTAATCTGGCTTTCTCTTCAAATTAGCAGTGCAGGAGGGAAGCTGGCTCTCTTTGAATGGAAATTTAACCAGAAGTTAAAATAAATTCCATTCAATCGTATAGAATAGTTTTGTTCCTTTTCACTTAAAAATATTTTTCTCTCTTTTATGTGCCTTGAAAATATATTTATCTATTAATATTTATTTCTGTTGGCTTAACCAAAATTGTTCCTTATTCTTAAAGTAGTTACTTGCATTATTGATAAATATTTTCACAATATTTAAGAAGAGTCATATTTCCTACATACCAATGGTTTTGTTATATAACTTTAGTCTCTTTTAGTCATTCCTACTTTCATGACCATTTCTGTACTAAAGCCTTTGATGAATGGATGATTTTAATATCTAGTTTTATGTATGGCATTTGTATGGAAAAACAACAAAGAGCTTATGGAAAAGGAGTATTGTTTATATCTCATTTCCCTTTGCCCCCTTCTTTCCTTTATTTCTCCTTTCTGATGTCTAAATGATTTTCTTCCTTGTGCTTCTGTGCAAATGTTTCCTCTGGCTGCATAGGACAACATCAGACTGGTTTCTACGTTAGTCTTGGTAAGCGAGAACTGAAATAAAGGAGATAACAGAGTATAGTACATATGTATTAAATGTCCTTAAATATATTCTTATGTAAGTTATGCCCAGTGGTAGCTTTTACCTCAGATCAACTCATAAAGTGAGAGATATGTATGTGTCTGTGTGTTGTGTGTGTGTGCATATGTGTATATAAATAATTGAAACGTTTCTCAAAAATAATTTTTCTGTTCAGATGATAACTGGCAAGTTGAGGATTTACATTTTGGGGGGTAGAAACTAATGATGTGTTGCTATGTTGTCACTATGAAGTTCTGTTTAAATTTCATCTTTAGTGAACACGGTAGTGATGTAAATTTCACTTGGCATGCTTTTGTAACTCTGTAATGTACCTAGTTAAAGTAGTCATGAAAGCAAGAAACAATGCATGTTCATATCTGGACAGTGCTTGAGCTCTGCTGTACATGCTAATGGAACAAGTTCTCCAAAGGAAATTAATATAATGCTATATAATATTTATATAGTTGTGAATTTATGGATCAAAGACCTTAAAGTATGACTTTTATATGGAAGTAAGTTCATGAATTTCAACAATTATTAGCTCCTCCTCTATCCAAGGCAATGCTCTAGGTTCTGCAGGGAGTTGCGATTAAGAAAATACAGACAGATTTAAGGCAATCTGTCCTGTTTCTCTAATCCTTTTACCTTGGTTCTACATTTGCAAAATTCCTTATTTTTCTTTAACTCTGGGCTCCATTAGCTTATCTCCATAGCTATCCTCTTAAACAGAGTAGTCTTCTCTGTTCCTTTCAAATGAAGGTCGAGTTATAGACATCATCTCCTTTAACTTTACCGTCAAAAATTGACCACCCTCTGAGGGTTTAAAAAATATTTGAATTATCAGTTGGGAATAACCTGTAAGTCATTAGAACTGCAGAAATAAAATCTGTCAGTGACTCCAACATTGTTTTTCGATTTTTTTTCATTTGCTCATTTTTGCCCCTTTTGTACAATTTCCTATATTTGCTCTAAGAAGTATTAATGGGTCCTCACCAGGTTTGGTTAATGTAGGGTAGGCCTTTGTGCTATGAATGGGTTCAGGGCTATAGATATGCTAATAATTTAATTTTTCTCAGCCCTTGAGTTAGTCAGAAGCCGTGGATGGCCCAAGCCACCAGGTCAGATCCTGTTAGTTCAGCAGCTGGCAGCTATGGCATGACAAGTGTTGGGAGCATTAATAGAGGGAAGGACACATAGTCAATATGTAGAAAGGAGAAGGAAGAGAGGGAATGCTGATGAATAATGATGTGCTTTTATAAACCTGTAAGCCAAATAATTTTTGTAGGTCAGTGATTTTTAAAATAAATGTCTACGGAAGTAAGATAAATTGTACAGCTTATTTAAATGTAAAAAGTATTACATGGCAATTCAGAACTCTCAAAATGCTCTCACACATGTAACCTCTCAGTTGGTCATTCCGACAGTCCTAGAGGAAGGCAGGACAGAGAGCAAACTGTCTCCAAACTTCCTTAATGTTCAGAGATTTAAATGACTGTCCCTTTTTTTTTTTTTTAGTACTTTCTAACATTATCTCTCCATTTTATTAATTAAAGAGGCATGCAGATTTTGAAGGAAAGACACAGGTTTTTTCCATGGCTTTTACTTTGTCTTGTGTATGAAACAATGTAAGTTTTAGAAGTTTGCTAAATATTGCTTCACTTATTTGCTATTGCTAAAGCCAGAGAAGGAAATTTTAGAAGACTCCCCCACAAATAAGTTAATCTCTATAAATGTCAGTTTCTTCTTCTGCAAAAAGGGAGTAAAACAGTACTACTATATAGGGTCAATGTATGAGCAGCAGGACAAAATGCATGTATATCACAGGACTGAACACATCCTAGCCACTCTGTAACTATCATGCTATATCGACATGTTTTCATAAAATGTATATGTGATCATTTTTGTTCTTTTTCTCAGGTACAACAAAAATTTAGAAGAAGCTAAAAGAATTGGGATAAAGAAAGCTATTACAGCCAATATTTCTATAGGTGCTGCTTTCCTGCTGATCTATGCATCTTATGCTCTGGCCTTCTGGTATGGGACCACCTTGGTCCTCTCAGGGGAATATTCTATTGGACAAGTACTCACTGTAAGTGGTTTACATTGAGAAATGAACCATTATTATAAAATGCCAATGAAATCCAGTAATGTTGGCTTGACTTTAGAAGAATATATTTTGAACAACTGTTGAATACTACAGACATATGCACTACTAGGTTAAAAAGTGGAAGGCCAGGCACGGTGGCTCACACCTGTAATCCCAGCACTTTGGGAGGCCGAGGCAGGCAGATCACGAGGTCAGGAGATCGAGACCATCCTGGCTAACATGGTGAAACCCCGTCTCTACAAAAAATACAAAAAATTAGCCGGGCGTGGTGGCGGGCGCCTGTAGTCCCAGCTACTCAGGAGGCTGAGGCAAGAGAATGGCGTTAACCCGGGAGGCGGAGCTTGCAGTGACCTGAGATTGCGCCACTGCACCGCAGCCTGGGTGACACAGCAAGACTGTCTCAAAAAAAAAAAAAAAAAAAAAAAGTGGAAAAAAATTAGATGCATCCGACAACCAGTTTTTTCTTTTATTTGCTTGTTTGTTTTTGCAGATATCTTGCACAATTTATCCTGTAGCCTAAATAATATTAACGTTAGCAATCTCAATAGCATGAACTTTTATTTGTTGAGATTATTTGTGCCAAACTTGTTGCTAAACACTTCACTTTTATTTTCTGATTTACTATTCACAAAAATGGCAAAATACACATTTTGACTTCTTTTCAAATTATTTCGAATGGCAGCTAATCCACCTCACAAATTATGGAAGTATAAATTGTTCCTCTTCCTAAAAGATTGTTTGGAAGTTTTCTGCATTATAGACCTTTGTGCAAGCACAGAAGTCTTGCCATTTAATGTTATCCTCTTTTATTTTAAAGACAATGAAATAATTTGCAAACCAAACTCAATTCATATCTGGATCTAATAAAATACACTGTTAGAAGAGTCACTTAGTTCCTTTTTCGTAGGCCAAGCAGAAATAGATTGAGGCAATGAGAGATGATATTTTGTAGAATCCCTTAAAACAATTCCCTTTTTCAGGAGCCAGATTTGTAATATGGATTCAATAATCACTTCTTTTTCTTTTTTTTTCAAATTTGCCTTATCCAACATTGCTCAGTGGGGAATGGCTTTTCCCATGAAGTTTTTTTTTTTTAGTATAGTGATGCTGTGGGTGATCCTTGGTTGTCATAACAGATGTTTTCTGTTTAACTGTGATTGAGATAAGCAGTTTAAATCCAGTGTTCACTGGGCATGAATATACTTCACACACTGGAGGCATCCAAAATAGGGAGTGTGGGGTTTGATATCGGACCAACTTGATTCAAATGGCAGCTTTGTCACTTATTAGCTGTATGATTTAGGGCAGCCAGCTAAACTTTTCAAGCCTCTGCTACCTCTTCTGCCAAATGATATGACAGGAATGAACCCTAACTTTCAGCGTGTTTTGAGGACTAACTGAGATAATGAATATAGAATCACTTAGCAAAGTTCCTTCTGTGTAAATTATTGAGCAATATAATTCCATGTGATTTAGAAAAAATGAATAATGACATTAATTCTCATCAACCCCAAAGAGAAACACAGTTAAGTCTTTACCAATAAGAAACTGATTTGCACAAAACAAAAAAACAAAAGGCCTAAAGAGAACACGGCCTTGTGGCAAAAAAGACAACCTGATAAAGGATCAGTGTCTTAGGTGTGTGTGCTTTATAATTAACAAAAAATGTTCATATACACTGTTTTATCATGATACAACATCTCTATGATTGCTGGGTAGGGAGAACAGATAGAATCTTGCCTGTTTTTGCCAATGAAGAAATTGAAGCCAAAGATTCTAAGAGAATGGCCTAACAACATATAACTAGTTATTACTAATTTAGGATTCAGAACTGGGTCTTCTGACTCCTCTGCTAGCATTTATTTCCACTTTACCTTACTGATGATCTAAATAAAAAAAAAACTAGACATTGAAGAAATATAAAAATATCCTATTATAATATTCTAGCCCTGTGAAATTTAAATCATTGTTTATTGAGCAAGTAAGACTAATTCTGCATTCTAAATTGAAAAGTATTTATATTTCCAAAATATTTTTAGTATGGGCAACATAGTGAGATCTCATCTCTATAATTTTTTTTTTTAATTAGCCAGATATGGTGGCACTTGTCTGTAGTCCCAGCTACTTCGGAGACTGAGGTGAGAGGGTTGTCTGAACCCAGAGGTTGAAGTTGCAGTGAGCCAAGATTGCACCACTGCAGTCCAGGCTGGGCAACAAAGCAAGACCTTGTCTTAAAATTTTTTTAAAAAAATTTTATGCTATTTTTAATTGACAAATCATAATTGCATTACACTTACGGAATACAATGTGATGTTTATGTATACACACACATACACACAAAATGTGGAGTGATCAGAGCAAGCTAATTAACATATCTATCTCCTCACTTGACACCTTTTGAGGTGACACATTTGAAATTTACTCTTGGCTGGGTGTGGTGGCCCATGCCTGTGATCCCAGCACTTTTGCAGGCTGAGGCAGGAGGATTGCTTGAGGCCAGGAGACCAGGCTGGGACACGTAGCGAGACCCTGTCTCTAGAAAAAATAAAAAAAATTAGTCAGGTGTGATGGTGCATGCTTGTAGTCCTAGCTACTTGGGAGACTGAGGCAGGAGGATTGCTTGAGCCCAGGAGGTAGAGGTTATGACGAGCTATGATTGCACCACTGCACTCCATCCTGGGTGACAGAATGAGAACCTGTCTCTTAAAAAGGAAAAAAAATGAAAAAAGGAATTAAATGTACTGTTAGTTACAAACTTTTAAAATATTTTTAACACCTAGTATTTATATGTTGCCTCGCCATTTTAAATTTTAATTACCTATGTTAGAAAAAGACAGAAGAAGTATGAAAAAAAATTGCTGTCACTATCTCAGTAGCCTGATGGTTTTTCTTCACATTCCTCAGGTATTCTTTTCTGTATTAATTGGGGCTTTTAGTGTTGGACAGGCATCTCCAAGCATTGAAGCATTTGCAAATGCAAGAGGAGCAGCTTATGAAATCTTCAAGATAATTGATAATGTAAGTCTGAGTTGGCCATCTATCCACCTATCTAAAAGATTGTCCAGTTAAGTCAATTTCTTTGTCACTTTATCCAGCTCTCCACAAAATATCACTAAAAGTAGTTATTGTAACCTAGTAATCTCTTAAAATTTGATTCTGTTTAGAAGCCAAGTATTGACAGCTATTCGAAGAGTGGGCACAAACCAGATAATATTAAGGGAAATTTGGAATTCAGAAATGTTCACTTCAGTTACCCATCTCGAAAAGAAGTTAAGGTACAGTGATAAATGATTAATCAACAATTAATCTATTGAATGAAGAGTTTCTGATGTTTTCTTGTAGAGATTATAAAAAAGTGCATGTATATTTAAACCTAGTGAACAGTCAGTTCCTATATCCTGTGTCTGTGAATTGCCTTGAAGTTTTTTTCTCACTCGTCCTGGTAGATCTTGAAGGGTCTGAACCTGAAGGTGCAGAGTGGGCAGACGGTGGCCCTGGTTGGAAACAGTGGCTGTGGGAAGAGCACAACAGTCCAGCTGATGCAGAGGCTCTATGACCCCACAGAGGGGATGGTGAGATGACCCATGCGAGCTAGACCCTGCGGTGATCAGCAGTCACATTGCACATCTTTCTGATGTTGCCCTTTCAATTACAAATGTATGAAAGTCACACTTACTTTTTATTCCAGGTCAGTGTTGATGGACAGGATATTAGGACCATAAATGTAAGGTTTCTACGGGAAATCATTGGTGTGGTGAGTCAGGAACCTGTATTGTTTGCCACCACGATAGCTGAAAACATTCGCTATGGCCGTGAAAATGTCACCATGGATGAGATTGAGAAAGCTGTCAAGGAAGCCAATGCCTATGACTTTATCATGAAACTGCCTCATGTAAGTTGTCCTTGCCCTTTGCCTTTCTAGAGGTGCAAAAAATAAAATGCAGGCCTACTATGCAGGAAGTTAGGAAACTACTATAAATCGGAAGAAGGGAAATCCTAAGAAGGGAAAGTAAGATTACTTCAGATTTGAAAGCTCTAGCAGTATCAACTGGTCGTAGATACATTTTTAAAAACTGAGGTTGGTTATTGTGTTAAATAAGATTTAAAGAACTGGACCTGTATTACTTGTGAGACTTGGGCTGTGTATAGGATTCCTTACCAATTTAAAATATGAGCTGAGATAGCTTGTCCTTATGCTAAATCATTCTGGGTTTTCTGTGGTAGAAATTTGACACCCTGGTTGGAGAGAGAGGGGCCCAGTTGAGTGGTGGGCAGAAGCAGAGGATCGCCATTGCACGTGCCCTGGTTCGCAACCCCAAGATCCTCCTGCTGGATGAGGCCACGTCAGCCTTGGACACAGAAAGCGAAGCAGTGGTTCAGGTGGCTCTGGATAAGGTCAGTGAGGCTTAGTTCAAACCAACCTGATTTATAAGCATAAGAACATTCTACTACTAATTCTTGTTAATATTGGTCTTAGAAAAGGAAATTTCTGATAGCTTCTAGGTGATTCCTTCAGCTATTAAAATAAAAGCATTGGGCCTCTTTGAAATCTTTTTCTATTTGTTTGTTTTATTGTTCAATTTCTATTTATTTCTCTGATCTTATTTTAAATGTTGATGAATACATTTTCATTTGAAGACACTTGCTAATCTTTTAAATTAAAAAATAGAAATATAGACACATGTGAAAGTTCATCTTCATTGTGATCTTCAAAACTTGACTATGTGGATAACCCTGTTATTTAGGTTTTGAGAGTTTGTAATATTGCCAAGAAGAGAAAAATACAACCTGAAGGTCCATATATAATTTTCCAGGTGTTGAATGCCACTTGAAGACTCTATGCGAAATAAGAAACCTCTTATTTCCAGGAAAGGGGCAGATAGCCTGTGATACTGAAAACCTACCTAAGCCATGACAGGTTATTGACTATCAACAGAGTTTGACTGTCCTGCAATTCTGGAGTCCATATGACTCATTCACCAAATAGCATTTGAGTGTTTGCCGTGTGCCGGGCACTGTGCCTTTGATCTCCAGCACGTGATAGTAACGGGGATAATTCTGTGAGGACCGAGAATGTGGAGATGGAGACATTATAACCAAAGGTGTTCCAAGTTGAGATGTCACAGTAGAATTCAAAGATGAACTCATATTTGTTTCAACTCTCCCTGTCTCTAATAAAACAACACTTGAATGTTCCTTAACATCCTGTCAATGTGCTTAATAAATTTTTGAGAGAGAAAAAAAGCAGCTTACTAAACATTCTGTGAACCAAAATAGAGGCCGATGGGATTCTGGTTACTATTTTTCCCCTCATTTTGCTTAATCTGTGATTTCATCTCTGTGTTTTTCTTTTTCTTTCTTTATTTCCTTCCTTCCTTCCTTCCCTCCCTCCCTCAATCCCTCCCTCTCTTGCTCTTCCTCTTCCTTTCCTTTCTTTCCTTTCCTTTCCTGACCTTCCCTTCCTTTCATTTCCTTTCCCTTCCCTTCCCTTTCTTTCCCTTCCCTTCCCTTCCTTTCCCTTCCCTTCCCTTCCTTTCCCTTCCCTTCCCTTCCTTTCCCTTCCCTTCCCTTCCTTTCCCTCCCCTTCCCTTCCCTCCCCTTCCCTTCCCTCCCCTTCCCTCCCCTCCCATCCCCTCCCCTCCCTTTTCTTTTCTTTTTTCTCTTCTCTTCTCTTCCTCTCCTCTCCTGTCTTTTCTTTTCTTATCTTATCTTATCTTTTCTTTTCTTGTTTCTTTTCTCACTCTGTCACCAGGCTGAAGTGCAGTTGTGCCATCATGGCCACTACAACCTCTGCTGCCCAGTCTCAAGTGATCCTCCCACCTCAGCCTCACAAGTAGCTGGGACCACAGGTGTGTGCCACCATGCCAAGGTTTTTTTTTTTTTTTTTTTTTTGAGATGGAGTCTCGCTCTGTCGCCCAGGCTGGAGTGCAGTGGGACAATCTTGGCTCACTGCAACCTCTGCCTCCTGCCTCAGCCTCCTGAGTAGCTAGGATTACAGGCATGCACCGCCACACCTGGCTAATTTTTGTATTTTTAGTAAAGACAGGGTTTCGTCATGTGGCCCACGCTGGTCTTGAACTCCTGACCTCAGGTGATCCACCTGCCTCGGCCTCCCAAAGTGCTGGGATTACACGCGTGAGCTACCGTGCCCAGCCCCCAGCTATTTTTTGATATATTTGTAGAGATGAGGTCTCACTATCTTGCCCCGACTGGTCTCAGACTCCTGGGCTCAAGCAATCCTCCCGCCTCAGCCTCCCAAAGTGCTGGAATTACAGGAGTGAGCCACTGCTTACTGGTTTGCTTATCTGTGTTTCCTTATTAATCTATAGTGAAACTATGTATTAAATTATAAATAAAAACAATTTTAAAAGGTTATATTTTAAAATACTTTAGGGTGTAAATTTTGAGGGGAAATTCCACATACCCCTTTTTTCTTAAAAAGATACAAAAATTGATCTATTTTCTTCTGTATTTTCTAGTTTCTACCACCTAATTTTTCCTTGTGTATTTTTTCTTTTTGAAGTTTTCCACTTCTACTTATCCTATGGATCCTGAAAATGTTGTGTGTTGGTTTTGAGAATTGTATTGCTAGTTATTAGAGAGACATATAGAGTAACAAAAATTATGAGCATTGGGAAAGTTACAAAGGTTAGAGAAGTCTCAGACAAGGCCTGGATATCTGGCTCTGTTCCTTTATGAAAATAAAAGAGACTTACGTGACTCTTCAATTTTTCCATAATTCTTCAACCTAGGAATAAGTATCACTAACTATGGATAAGGCACAGTGTTGAGTACTTTATGTGCTTTATTTTATTTAGTCATCACAACTACTCTAAGAAGTAAATACTATTATTATCCCCATTTTACATATGAATAAATTGAGTCTCACACAGTTTCCTTGGATAAAATATTTTATTGGATAAAATAAATTCATAAATTTATTTCAGGTCAGTGTGACATTGAGGTCTGGACTTTGCTGCCTCACATTTATTGTCTGTCTTGTTCATCCAGGGGGTCATGCGGGATAGGATATTATAATTCCTAGGGCTGATTACTAGCCGGTGTGTATCAGTACAGCACAATGGCCTGTGTTTGTTTTGATTGGCCAACGCCTGGTCTGTAGGAATTTGTTGGTTTGTACAAGCCCCTGATTATTATTATTTTTTTATTTTTTATTTTTTTTTTTTGAGATGGAGTCTCACTCTGTCACCCAGGCTGGAGTGCAGTGGTGCGATCTTGGCTCACTGCAAGCTCCACCTCCCAAGTAGCGGGGACTACAGGCACCCGCCACCATGCCCAGCTAATTTTTTGTATTTTTAGTAGAGATGGGGTTTCACTGTGTTAGCCAGGATGGTCTTGATCTCCTGACCTTGTGATCCACCCACCTTGGCCTCCCAAAGTGCTGGGATTACAGGCGTGAGCCACCACGCCCGGCCCAAGCCCCTGATTATTACTGCAAATTTAGGTTAAATAAAATATTTGGGGGCTTACATAATATTAATATGTGACTGTTATATTTGTGTTTGTATTTATTACAAGGAAACATCATTTTTAACTATTATCAATTGTCTATACATTTATTGAAGTCAGAGGCTATCTTATATAGATTTGATGGTTTTACAATGCCCACAGCATTGGTTCAGTAAATATATGTTGAATGGTTAAGTTTCTTCAGGTAATTGTTAATGTATTCAAAAACCAAATTTCTCTCTCTTTAGGCCAGAAAAGGTCGGACCACCATTGTGATAGCTCATCGTTTGTCTACAGTTCGTAATGCTGACGTCATCGCTGGTTTCGATGATGGAGTCATTGTGGAGAAAGGAAATCATGATGAACTCATGAAAGAGAAAGGCATTTACTTCAAACTTGTCACAATGCAGGTATAGTTTAACTTCAGAATTTTCCTAAGTCATCTCAGTGATAAACTGATTTTGCATTTAATGCTAAAAATAAATATTATTTGATTTGATTACCTTACAAAGTAGGAAACAACACCTGGGGGATTCAGGATGAGACCAGTGTTTAAGATTTTTTTTCTCTCTTGAAAGAGGGGAAAATAAAGAAGGATAAACAGATAAAAAAATTAAAAGGTTTCAAGGTGAGTTATCCGTTATAGTAGTCAGTAGCCACATGTGTCTGTACAGCATTTAAATGGTAGTGAATCTGAATTGGAATGTTTTAAGTAGAGTGTGCACATCTTGTTCTGAAGACTTAGTACAAAAAATGCAAAATATCTCAATTTTTATATTGATTACATGTTGAAACGATATCATGGGATATCAATAATATATTGGATATATTAGGTGAAATAAAATATATAACTAAAATTAATTTCACTTCTTTCTTTTTACATTTGTTAACATGGCTTCTAGAAAATTTAAAATAACATGGCTCATAGCATGGCTTGTGCCATATTTCTGTTGAAAGCACTGATCCAGAGTAAACTTGATTGAGTCAAAACACCCACAAAAAATGGCGTGAGAAGATAAGATACATGGAATGAATGCCAGATTATTTCAGTATATGCAGTGGGAATTCTTCTTTGGTGGTTTTCGTTTTCAAATATCACACACACACACAGACACACACAGACACACATAAAACAACACAGCAGATTAGCTTTATCCTTTTCTGCAGTTACTAAACAAATTGCTGTTTTCCTTGATAGCTGACATTCAGTGATTAGCTTTCATTGGTTAACACACAGCCTAATGAGCTTTTGCATATTTCTTATTTATTTTAGACAGCAGGAAATGAAGTTGAATTAGAAAATGCAGCTGATGAATCCAAAAGTGAAATTGATGCCTTGGAAATGTCTTCAAATGATTCAAGATCCAGTCTAATAAGAAAAAGATCAACTCGTAGGAGTGTCCGTGGATCACAAGCCCAAGACAGAAAGCTTAGTACCAAAGAGGCTCTGGTATGAAGGGAGATGCGGAGTTTGTTTTAATCTCACTAACTGTGGTTCCCTAGTTTGGTGGGCTAGGGCTACAGTAGGAGTGGGAACAAGAGAGGTTATCCAGAATCCTCCTGTCCTATCCCCCAGAATGTCAACATTTTAGAATCAGGTTAGAATTTAAAAGTATTAATTTACACAGCAGAATTTTTAGAATTAAAATTTATAGTGTAAAGAGACTATAGCGGGTCTTCAAATATCAAAATTTCCATTCTGTTTACTCCTGCTTATAAATACTCTTGTCAGGTTCTGAGTACCAAATAAAAGTAAGTGTTTGTGGAAACATCATTTATTTTTTAAAAAATAAAGGAGTATTGTAGCAAAATTTGTCAACATTTTTTTGAAGCTAAATAATAATCACTATGACATTTTTTAAAGCAAAATTGTCATCACTTATTCATTGATAAGGAATAAGGATAGGATATATTCCTTTACTAATTTTTGTGCGTATGTAAGAATTGTACATATAAAAGTTTTTAACTAGCCTGTTGTAATAATTTGTGTTTTCTAGGATGAAAGTATACCTCCAGTTTCCTTTTGGAGGATTATGAAGCTAAATTTAACTGAATGGCCTTATTTTGTTGTTGGTGTATTTTGTGCCATTATAAATGGAGGCCTGCAACCAGCATTTGCAATAATATTTTCAAAGATTATAGGGGTAAGTGTGATGCCCATTTGTGTGATTTACTTGTGAATCCTGATGGAAGAATGAACGAATAAAGTGCTTGTGTCTGAACTGGGATACAAAAACAACAAAATCCACGTATCTCCATATGAAACTAATTGGCTTGAAGATGTAAGAATAGCAGTCTGGTTTGTGATAGGAGAGCTAACTTTGTGAACCTTCCTTTGTCATCACAGTTGGTTTCTAACCTGGGCAACTAAAGACCAGCTTCCTGAAATAGTCAATGAAAGTGATGAGATGACTTTCTCATACCTGCCAACATTTGGCTCTGAACAAATCTTGTGAACTTTCATTTCACCAATGTGCAAAGAGAGTTCCTCAAATGTTTGTCAGGCTGGCTTGAGAATGCACTGTTCTCTAACATACATACTTTCCAGGATGTGAGTAAGCCTAGCATGCTTCTTTTGTAAGATGTAATTTTCATCCCACTTGCTAAGATTAAAACAAATAGGAACGGCTTCCTAAAGATTGAGGTTGACATGTGTTAGTTCCACCTCATCTTAATGGTGGCATTTTCAACAGTAAAGTTACAATCTGAAAGGAATGCTCTCTGTTTAGTGACATATGTCCAAACATCAAGCTGAGGACACCCTTGCCATAACTGCTGAAAACATTGTGGAGAAAGAGATTGATCACCACAAGAAGCATAAGCTAAACACTGACTTTTGATTCTACAAAATATATATGACTATTCAGGTCTACTCATGCCTGGTTAGCTTATTTCAGTTTAATATATTCATTCATGAATTCATGTTTAATGACATTCATGCTTAATATTAAATATATTTATTCAAGAATTGTTATTATTTTTTGAGTCTCGCTCACTCTCGCCCAGGCTAGAGTGCAGTGGTGCGAACTCGGCTCACTGCAGCCTCTGCCTCCTGGGTTCAAGCGATTCTCCTGCCTCAGCCTCCTGTGTAGCTGGGATTATAGGCCTGCACCACCATGCCTGGCTAATTTTTGTATTTTTAGTAGAGATAGGACTTCACCATGTTGGCCAGGGTGGTCTTGAACTCCTAACCTCAAGTAATCCACCTACTGGCATGAGCTGCCATGCCTGGCCTCTAGAATTATTTTTTGTGTCTGCTCTGTGCCAGGTATTTTTCTAGTTGTTGAAAAAATTCCGAGAATGTGATCAAATGTCTGATTCTGTAGAGTATATGGTCCAGGGCAGGAGTCAGCAAACTTTTTCTATTAACAGTAAGATGGTAAATATTTTAGGCTTTGCATGCCACATGATTTCTGTTGCAGATACTCAACTCTGACCTAGTAGTACACAACAGCAATGTGGAAATGAATGAACACGACTGTGTTCCATTAAAACTTTATATAAACATTTGGCCAGTGGCCCATAGTTTGCTGATTCTTGCACTAACATGTGTCTTGCAGGTTTTGGGGGTTGGCGGGGGTAGACTGTGGTGTCATCAGAGAAAAAAAAAAAAAGGAAATGGTTAAGTTAGGAATGGGTTTGGTTGTAACAAAACCTCAACTTATGATTTTATACTTTTCTCATTCTTCATATGACAATAAGTCTGGAGGTAAGTGACCCAGGGCTGGGATATTAGCTCTTAGATATTGAGTAGGCAACCAGACATCTGCCTCATTGAAGATAGTGGGCTCTGCATCGGATTGCCTGGATTTATATCCTTGAGTCATCCCTTGCTGGCTGTGTTAACTTGAGCAAATTAATTACCTTCTCTGTACTTCAGTTTCTATCTGTGTAAAACCGTGATGATAATAAATCATACTTCTGGAGATAGTTGCCAGGATTAGAGGAATAGTATATATGAATTTGCTTAGAATAATGCCTGGCATAGAGTAAGAATTTGGTAATTGTTATGATTTTTGTTGGACTGACTAGTCAAAAAAAATTATTTAATCTCTTCAAAAATCCTTGTTGTTGTTGTTATTTGTTTGTTTTTTTATGAAGGATAAAGTTGTCTGTCCTGGGCTAGGAATGTTACTATCTTACAAGACTGATTTTGGCCCACTGTGAAGGGAGATACGTGTTTTCTTTCCCTGAGGAATGGTTATCCTCTGTGTTCCTTGAGTCCAAAACATCCTATTAGCCCTTATAACTATCTCTGGAAAAAATTTCAGGTATGGTGCTAGGTCAGGTAGCTGTAGTTTCCAACTGGCTCTCTTAACTGGCCATCCTACCAAGAAGGCAGGCTCAAGGAAATTCCTTTCTTTTTGAAAGGCCTGGGCTGAGTGAATGACCACCACTCTGTGGTTCACCAAAAAACCACATCAGGTTTTCCCCAGACACCTTGGGACAGTTTGAAATGTCCAAATAGTAAAGCAATGAACTGCCATAAATGTAGTTCCCCACCAAGGGAAGAGGAGAGTATTTGTTCTGATTTCAACTTTACACAGTTGAGGTGGCACTCATGACTCCAAGAGGGAATCCGAACAGAAAAAATACTGGATCAATTTATGAATGATAGACCTATCCTTGGCCTCCACAGAAGGGAGAATGCAGACACCTTTAAGGCTGGCAATAGGAAAGCCAACCCCAATTTCCAGCGTACTAAGGCTCTCCTGACCCCTGAATACTGGGCCAGATGGGAAATGGGTCAGGTCCAGGATGGGTTCTTCACTGATTGAACTAAAAATCCTTTAAATGTTTTCTCACAGGTTTTTACAAGAATTGATGATCCTGAAACAAAACGACAGAATAGTAACTTGTTTTCACTATTGTTTCTAGCCCTTGGAATTATTTCTTTTATTACATTTTTCCTTCAGGTAAATGTTTCCATTTTCACTATATTCATTTTGAGAAATGCATCATTATTCAACTGGGGGGATTTATAAACATCAGTGTAATTGGCCTTTTAGTAGAACTTCTCTATTAACATGGCTACTAACAGCCAAGTTTTTCTGACATAGTGAAAAAAGATGTTTGCCTCCTCTGGCTCCCTTGCTTACCTTCTCCTCTCCACCCTTACCTCCCGCAATGAAACCAGGGGGAACAGAGTATTTGGCCTGATATGATGATTGGAGGTGAAAGGCAGGGACTTCAAAATGGGGTGTGGGGGAGCCCTGGATGTAAGTTTGGATATAAGTATTGCCAGTAAATGTAAATACTCAAAGAAATGTCTTCCCGTGTTCTAAAAGCAACAACAAACAAACAAAACCCCATAAGCGGGTCACATGGGTTTAAAAAGGGTTTGAAGAGTTTATCGTTCAACTTTTGTTCAAGGAGAAAGAATCATTTCAGTGATGGAAGAATGTCAATCCTCCAACAAAAAATGTAGGAAACATTTGTAAAGAGTCAGATTTTTACAGCTTGCAAATCATTTGGCTGAAATGAAATGGCAAGGAATTAAGTACTCTAAAAGTTTAGTATGAGGGCCAGGTGTGGTGGCTTATGCCTGTAATCCCAGCACTTTGGGAGGCCGAGGTGAGTGGATCACCTGAGGTCAGGAGTTTGAGACCAGACTGGCCAACATGGCGGAACTCTGTCTCCGCTAAAAATACAAAAATTAACAGGGCGTGGTGATCCACACCTGTAGTCTCAGCTACTCAGTAGGCTGAAGCAGGAAATGTCTCAGGAACCCAGGAGGCCAGGAGGAGGAGGTTGCTGTGAGCCATGATCGTGCCACTGCACTCCAGCCTGGGCAACAGAGTGAGTCCCTGTCTCTAAATAAATAAATAAATAAATAAATACTGTTTGGTATGGCAAGACAGTATTGGTTTTGGTTCAAGTGCTCCTTGTACCTGTTTCTGATTTTGTGTCCTTGGGCACATAAGTAAACTGTCTAAGCCTCTGTTTCCTTAGCGGTAAACTAGGGATGCAGGTACCTGCCTCTTGATGATTAAAAGGATCATGTGACCAAGTGCTCAGGCCTGCATGAGGCAGTAGTAGGTAATCACTTATTAATTGAATGATTAGCCACCTGTAATTTTTAAAGATAAAACTGTGACTAGATCTCTTTATTTAACATGTAAGCATGTATTACATTTTTAAAAAATAGAATATTTTTCTGGACATTATAAGAGGTGCAAAAGAAAAAACAGACTGAATTCTTTCTTTACTGAGTACTTACAGCCTCACTGGGGAATTTGACCTTACTAGAATAAATGTGACACTCTAACTACTTATAGGATTGCCATACCAACTATTAATACCACAGGTGTTTGGAGGAGGTAAAGATTGCTCAATGTAAATTTGGTTAAGAAAGTTGGAGTGAGGTGGGCTTTGAGCTGGTCCCTTAAATGTTGACGATTTGAATTGGTGAAGCAAAAGAAGTTAGAGGACTACCTTCATAACATGGTGCTTGGGGGGACTGGAACCTAGCTTGCCTAGAAAACAGGTGAGAACAAAGTCTATGAGTTATAGGACCTTAGAAGTCTAGAGATAGCAAAATGCCTAAAGATGTTAGACCACCCAACTCCTCATCTTAGTAACATGGGGAGGGAGTCCAGTGGGTAATTAAAAGCTCAGGCTCTGGATTCCCATTCTGGTTAGGATTCTCATGCATCTGGATTAAGATTCCAACTCTGTGACCTTATAACTGTGGGCTATGGATCTTATCAGGCTCTCTAAGCCTCAGTTTCTTCTGTAAAGTGGGCTTTTCTGTCTACACCACCCGTACAGCCTTGTGCCATGGCACACAGTCACAGAAACATAGCAAGCCCTTGAAATCAGGCTTTCTGACTTTGTCTGATCTCCTGCTTTAGCAAAGACATCAATTCTCCCTCCTTTTATTTAAATGGTGGCTGGGTCCCTGACAAGGTATGTTCCTGCCCACAGGGTTTCACATTTGGCAAAGCTGGAGAGATCCTCACCAAGCGGCTCCGATACATGGTTTTCCGATCCATGCTCAGACAGGTATGTCTATCGAGGGCTGTGCCCTGGGATGTGTAGAACTCCCCATGTGTGCCCCTTGGACTCAGACAGTGGGAGCTCTGTCATGTTTCCCAGGCCTAGCTCCTATATTGGTTGTCCCTCAGTCTCACGTCAGAGATGCGGTTGAACCGCCCACTAGGCACAGATGAGGCTCTACTGTCTGTCAGGTCTGGGTGGGCACAAGGAACTGGACCAGTTTGAGACAGAGCCTCCAGCGTGGATTCACCTCCAGCCTGTGTCTCAGCAGTGGTGGGCAGTGCAGGCAGAAGGCATCTTTGATACCCCTCATCCCTTTCCTCTCTTTCCTTCTTTCTCCTGGCAAACCCAGGGCACGAGTGTTTCTTCCCACCAAGAGATGCCCTCTGTACTCTTTCTTTCCGCAAATCAAAACTCATCCCTGTGTCCTGTTCTTCACTGCCCATTTTCTTTTCTGAGGCTAGTCTGAAATACTAGTTCAAGCTGCAGTGTTACTGGCTGATAATGGGTTTAATGGAATGCTTCTCACATTTTGCAGCTTCAAAACCCTAACCATTGACACGTGTGAATGTTTTCCTGGGGAAATGGGGAAGGAAATTAGAGGAATGTAACTCAGAGCAGCCTGGTTCAAAGGGGAAAGTTCCTTTAACAATCATGAAAATTTTGTATGTGACCTAATAACTTTCCGTTTTAAAAATCACTAATCACTTGCCATTGAGTAAAATGATGCTTTAGAAGTCTGCCCCAGATGTGCCAGGGGTACTCGAACCCTGGCTAAGAGGCATCAGTTTGGTGTGTTAGGCTTTCTAGAGGGCATTCACATTTTACCAGCTGTCTCTGGTTCCTCAGTTCTTCCCCATTCCTCCCATCACCATTTAGAAAGAAAATGTATTTATGGGAATTGCTAGCTAGTGACTGACAGAGCCAGGACTGAATCTAAGTGAGAGAGCACAGTTTGATGGGAAACCCTGTCCTTGGACTGTCAGGTCGAACTGTATTTATAAGTCAGATTCCACTTAGGTCTACACTGACCTTGCTCCAGGGCCAAATTTCCCATTACCCAACCAGCCTCCAGGCCAACTGCTGTGCCCATTATACTTTGGCAGCTGAGCTGATGGTTTGTGGAATGTCTCCTCCATAAATTGTTAAGTAGGGCAAGCATTTATTAAGTGCCTTCTGCTTACAAGGTCTAGTACTTAGTATTGTAAGGCATTCAAACCTGAATGGTCCCTGTGTTCAAGGAAGTTACATTCCTGTGTGGAGACACTTTTAACCACTTAAGAATATTGAAAAGCAAGTTGATACATACTATAATAAATTATAGCACTATTTTTTCTTAAATATTTTTGGGAAAAATGATAGATACTTCTTTAATGTAAATAACCAGTTTAGATAACTTCTTAGGGACCACAGTTATTTGTAAAACATATAAATTCATACTTCAAATTCACAATCATGTTAGTATCTGTGTATTTAAAAATATAAATGGTTTTACAAAGAAAATCTTATTTTATGTTGAATGTTATATTTTAATCTGGATTACTTTTGCTGATTTGTTTTTGACTCAAATCACTTATACTGCCCTGAGCTACATTTATCTAACTGCTTATTCAACCTCTCTATTGGATGTCTAATAAGAGTTTCACTGTTTAACATTTCCAAAATGGAGCTTTTGACTCTTCCCCTCCCCACCAGCCTTATTCCTTACCCACTCTTCCCCTATATCAGTAAGCGACAGCTCCGTTCTACTAGTTGTTTGGGCTAAAAACCTTGAAGCCATCTTTGACTCTTCTCTTTCTGTTAACATTGCAAAAGCTTCCTAACTGATCTCCCTACCTCCATTTTTATCCCAATCCTGTAGATTCACCTAAAAACAGCCACAGTCATTTTTCTAAAATAGAAATCAAATCATATCCCACTGCCCAAACCTGCTGAAGGCTGCCTGTAGCTCACAGGGTAAAGTCTGGAATCTTGACAGTCGCCTGTAAGACCATACACTATGTGGCCCCCACTCTCTCTCAAATCTCATCTCCTATAACCGCCTTTTTCCAATACACCGTCTACTCCATAAACAGTGGCTCACTGCCCAAGAGTAGGGGAGGGGAGGATCAGAGGAGCCAAATCAGAACACAAATCTGTCCAGAGGAAGGGGGTGGCTTTTACAAATTCATACAAAGGTTCTTTTTAGGCTGCTGGCAGCCTTTAAGGCTTTCTTGCTGGTGTATGAACAGATTAGGTATGCCTTTGCCTCAGGGTCTTTGCACATGCTGTTTCTGCTTTCCCTGAGGTATTCTCATCCTTTCCTTCATTCAGGCCTCTGTTCAGATGTCCCCTTAGAAAGGCCTTCTGTTTCCCCTCCCCAGTCTCTAAAATAGCACCTCCCCTCACTTTTCTGTTCTTCTTACCCTGCTCAATTTTTCTTTTATTTGTACCTTCCATCTCTAGAATCTAAACTTCATGAAAGCAGCTACTTTGTCTTTTTTGTTCGTACAGGTCCAACACTTAGAAATCATGCGTAGGAGAAAGTAGGCACTCAGAAATTTTTCTGACAAATGAAATGATCTATTTATGTGTTTTTATATTAAGTTTCTTTCTTGTGTATTGAATGTCACATCCTGAGTACTAAATGCAGGGGGTATAAGTATAAACAAAACTGACCCCATCGCTGCCCTCTTGGAGCTGAGAGTCTCATAAACAGCTTTAAGGTAATAAAATCATTTTCTGTGCCACAGGATGTGAGTTGGTTTGATGACCCTAAAAACACCACTGGAGCATTGACTACCAGGCTCGCCAATGATGCTGCTCAAGTTAAAGGGGTACGTGCCTCCTTTCTACTGGTGTTTGTCTTAATTGGCCATTTTGGACCCCAGCATGAAACTAATTTTCTCCTTACGGGTGTTAGTTATCATCATTAAGAAAATGTTGAATAAATATCTAACCTACGAATATATCACATGCTTTTTGTAGCAACATGTTAACTATTTAAACATTATATACTGTAGAGCATATAGATAACTTATAAACCATTTGCTATTGCTGTTATTCATGCTATTAACAAGATGCATGTAGAATAGTTATTTAGAAAAGAGAGTATAAAGTGCTCAATCAACATAAAACAGTAATTGCTACTGAAGAAAGGATGTATTTAATTGCTGTAAGAAAGTTTAGAGTCACTATGGTTACAGAAGGGAGGGAAGACAATCCTCTAAAATATAGGTTGAAGGAAATGAAAAGCACATTAAAAAATTAAGGCAAGAATAGAATAACTTCAGTCTTTATCTTTAATAACTTTAAACTTTAATAATTTTAATAACTTAAATTTTGCTACTGTATGAATCTCTTGATATAACTAGATACTATTGAACCAGCAGGTTTTGATTTTTGGCTGAAGTGACAATTTCTTCTACAACTGTTTATGGCAAAAGTCCACAAAATGATGTAGAATTTGAAAAAATTCATGTAATCTCTGGTGTGTCTTTTCCCCTCTTGAACCTTATCCATCTTTATCTTTAAATCTTTTCTGTAAGTTAGTACTATACTAACATTTCTTCTATCTAATATATGGGGCTTCTTTAAGAATAAATTAAGCTATAAATGAGGAAATACATAGAGTTATAACGTTGAAATATAAACCTTAGGAGTCCCTCTTTTTCTATTGTTTGGAATAGTTTCAGAAGGCATAGTACCAGCTCCTCTTAGTAATTGTTGTTTTAATACAAACTTCTTTGCCTAAAGCAAACAAAACAATAAAAACAAGGTTTAGATCAAGTTGTATAGAATGTAATTACAGGTGCACGCCTGTAATCCCAGCTACTCGGGAGGCTGAGGTACGAGAATTACTTGAACTCAGGAGGTGGAGGTTGCAGAGCTGAGATTGCACCACTGCACTCCAGCCTGGGTGACAAAGCAAGACTATGTCTCAAAAAAAAAAAAAATGCAAAGAAGACAGAGTGGCTGGAATAAAGTGAGTGAAAAGAAGAGTCATAAGTGTGTTAAGGTCAGCATTATATCCAGAAGTAGATGGAAAACCACTGTAGGGTTTTGAACACAGAAGTGACATGATCTGAAATTTTGAAAGGATCACTATAGAAACTGTGTGAATAGGCCGAAGGGGGCAAGCATAGAAGGAGTCTGTTGCAGTAATCCAGGAGGAGATGATAGTGTTTTAGACTAATTTGGTTATACAAAAGGCTATAAGATATAATTAATTCTGGATATATTTTAGATGTACAGCCAACAATGTGTTGGTTGGATAAGATGATGGATATGAGAGAAAGGGTATTTAAAGATGACTCCAAATTCTTTTACCTGCACAGTGGAAAAAAAAATGGAGTTTTTTTTTTTTTTTTTTTTTTTAAAGAGACAGGGTCTCTCTTTGTAGCCCAGGCCAGACTGCAGTGGCATGATTACAGCTCACTATAACCTAGAACTCATGGGCTCAAGCAATCCTCCCTTCTCAGCCTTCCTGGTAGCTGGGACCACAGGTGTGCACCACCATGTCGAGCTAATTTTTAAATTTTTTGTAGAGACAGGGTCTCCCTATGTTGCCCAGTCTGGTCTTGAACTCCTGGGCTCAAGTGATCCTCCCTGCCTCAGCCTCCCAAAGTGTTGAGATTACAGGTGTGAGCTGCCATGCCCAGCTGGAGTTGATCTTTATGAAATTCAGAAGCCTGTTGGAGAAGCAGGCTTGGGGGAGAATGGAGAGTTCTGTATGAGACATGGTAAGTTTGTGACGTCTGTATTAGACATCCATATGTAGATGTCAAGAAGGCTGAAATTTGCACTGCTAACTTTAGTAAACCTTTTTTATAATTGGTTTACTAAATAAGTTTTACTATGCTTCTCCATTCATTTTGGTCCTCACAACTCTATAGACTCCTACTCTGTAGGAGGAATATACATGAGACAGTGAGCATTAGTCTTTGGAATAAAGGAACAGTAACCAGTGCAATGTGACATTGCACAATATGACACAGACCCTGTGGTATGGGCTCATGTGCTTTGATGGACAAATATCCCGCATCACATTTGACGTGGAAGACACAATCCTGGAGGCAACTCAGTCTTTTGCAGCAGAACCCAGAGCAGATGTATTCAGGGCATTCTGTATTGCAGTTTTTCTTCCTGCCTCTCAAATTCCTCTGGTGTTATGACCTGCCTTAGGCCACAGTGAGTTCCTATATTTGTAAAATTGGTGGTCACTTTTTCCCTCCATAGTGCTGTTTGTGAGGCCCTTTGCCATATTCACTGTCTCTAATTGCCTGCTGGGGTCAACCTTCTGCTTTTCACTTGTTTCCTCAAAGACACCTCAAACTTGGCCCTGCCAAGATGGCTGCACTCACCTTATATGAGCCACTCAAGCAAAACTGTTTTCCAGAACTTAAAACAGTGGCTAAAAAGGAAAGACCAGGGAAGAGGAAATGAGCAGGTTGGCAAACATTGTCAACCTAGGAAAGCCCAATGTAGCTGTTATCACAGATTGACTGAGAGAGGACTGTTGGATCTACTTTACACCACTAGCTGACCTGTTTTTGGCTGACGGGTTTTAGTTCCTCCCCTCAACCCTAGTCTTTACAATGAAAATTTTCTGGCTACTAATCTGTGCTCTTCCATTCTTCTTAGTCCCCATATTTCTATAGACTCCTACTCTGTAGAAATAGATGTAGGACAGTGAGTGTTAATCTTCAGAATAAAGGAATAGTAATCAGTGTAATGTCTGAAGTGCTAAATCAAATGAAGCCGAGGGGTTAAATCTCCTTGCAGTTTAAGGTCTTAGACTTCTTAGTTACTCTTTTTGGTACATTAAAGAATTTGCCATCTTTGATCCATCTTATTTATTTCTGTGGCCCTTCACTACTATCCAAAGCTGCACATTTATATGTCTGAAAAGTTAAATAGCCAGGTAATTCCTCTGCCATGAACTCACACCTAGAAGTGATTCTAGGTGATATTCTAAGAGCTTCTCTCACAAGCCCATAAGTCAGTAGCTGCAGTGGGAAATGAGCTCTGAGTAGAACTTGTAGATACTGAGAACAGGAGCAACTTATATCATCCCTGTGCCACAGCCGTTCTCCAGCTTGCATCCTTTGACCTTCAAACTAAAGATGTGAAATGCAGAGAGCTGGCTTTGAAAACCATTCCAGTCTGATTTATCCCAAATTTGGCAAATCATCCCTTTAATATAAGCTCAATGATTGCATCAACAAAATATACAGGTGTTCTATTATTTATGATACCTCTTTCAGCCCTGGTGCAGCTCCATGGTATGGAATTTAATGTATTTAAAGGCTACTGATAGTTATAGCACTCTTTTCCTAAATACTAGTCTGGTGTTTATATCAGACAGGTGTTAAATGATTTTGTAGGGATTAATGTAGGGAATTATAAAGGATTCTATTGTTACTAGAAAGGGGTCCCGATGCAGACCTTGAAAGAGGGTTCTTGGATCTTGTACAAGAAAGAATTCAAGGCGAATCCACAGAGTAAAGTGAAAGCAAGTTTATTAAGAAAGTGAAAAAATTAAGAATAGCTACTTCATAGGCAGAACAGCAGCATGGGATGCTCAGCTGCTTATACTTATTGTTACTTCTTGATTACATGCTAAACAAGGGGTGGATTATTCATGAGTTTCCTAGGAAAAGGGGTGGGCTCTTCTCAGAACTGAGGGTTCCTCCCATTTTTAGACCATATAGGGTAACGTTGCCATGGCATTTGTAAATTGTCATGGCGCTGGTGTGTCTTTGAGCATGCTAATACATTATAATTAGCGTATAATGAGCAGTGAGAACAACCAGAGGTCACTTTTGTCACCATCTTGATTTTGGTAGGATTTGGCTGGCTTCTTTACCACAGCTTGTTTTATCAGCAAGGTCTTAGCGACCTGTATCTTGTGCTGACCTCCTGTCGCATCCTGTGACTTAGAATGCCTAACCTCCTGGGAATGTAGCCCAGTAGATCTCAGCCTTATTTTACCCAGCCCCTTTTCAGAAAAGGCAGGTCTGGGGCCAGGGCAGGCATTTGGAATGGCTTGAGGGCACAGAATATTTCCAGGGTAGAGGAGATGTGCTGGACTAAATTATAGAGTGATGGACTAAACTGACTTTGTAGCTTGACTTTTGGTTTCAGAGTTGGAAATCTGGTTTACAGTTGGACATTATACAGTGGTGGATTAAATTCACTTTGCAGTTTGACTTCTGGCTTTAGAGCTGGAACTCAGTGCACACTAGTGAAAGTCATGCTTCAGACTCCCTCTGGAATTCAAGGGGAAGATAATAATGCGCGCTTACTATCTTAAATTAAATTCCATAATTTTCAGCTCTGTATTTTTTCCAAATTAAACATTATATCTCAAACAGACCCAGATATATTTGAATATTATTAATGACAAACGTTAGGCTTAAATTACAAATAATAATATACCTAACATTGGAAATTTCCATCATTCCTAGTTTGTCAGACTCCTTTATCTTGCTAATTTGCAGATATTGCTTTAGTAATGTTGCCGTGATTAATGAAGGTTTTCTTGGTATTAAAAGATCCAAAGAGATAGGAATATGTAATTGAACTCTAGATTGTTGATATTCTACTTTCAGCATTCTGAAGTCATGGAAATTCTTACTGTAGAAACTCAATAAACTTACAAGTAGACCTTTACTTTTTAGTTCATTACTGATAAAATAATGAATATAGTCTCATGAAGGTGAGTTTTCAGAAAATAGAAGCATGAGTTGTGAAGATAATATTTTTAAAATTTCTCTAATTTGTTTTGTTTTGCAGGCTATAGGTTCCAGGCTTGCTGTAATTACCCAGAATATAGCAAATCTTGGGACAGGAATAATTATATCCTTCATCTATGGTTGGCAACTAACACTGTTACTCTTAGCAATTGTACCCATCATTGCAATAGCAGGAGTTGTTGAAATGAAAATGTTGTCTGGACAAGCACTGAAAGATAAGAAAGAACTAGAAGGTTCTGGGAAGGTGAGTCAAACTAAATATGATTGATTAATTAAGTAGAGTAAAGTATTCTAATCAGTGTTATTTTGTTACTCCCTACTGCTTACTATGCTCTAAGAATGTGTTTATAACCATTCCTCAAAGCAATCTTTTTCATGCTTATTCAGTAAATTAGAAACTTACAGAAAGTAGCAAAGCCAGTTCTTGGACTCAAAAACTGATAATTAACTTTAACAGACTTTTTCAGTTTTCAGGCCATTGTCTTCACACTGTTCTTCCTTCCTCCCCACTTTCCTCCTTCCCTTAGTTATTTTCTTCTTTCTTTTCTCTCACTTTCACTCTCTCTCCACTCCTTCCTTCCTTCTTTCCTTCCTTCCTTCTTTCCTTCTTTTCTTTCCTTTTTTCCTTCCTTCCCTTCTTCCTTCTTTTCTTTTTCTTTCTTTTCTTTCTTTCTTTCTTTCTTTCTTTCTTTCTTTCTTGCTTTCTTGCTTTCTTGCTTTCTTGCTTTCTTGCTTTCTTGCTTTCTTTCTTTTCTTTCAAGCTTAAATCCATTCCTTTATTGAGGAAAGTAAGCCCATTTTATTTGTACATGTGAGGGGGGAGATTAAATATGGAAAAATGCTAGGGGTATTTATTATATCTGTTTTAAATTACTACCACTCTTTCTTTTTTTTTATCATGCTCCTCCCTTCATCCTATTTCTGTTTATCTTTACCCTTTTTTTACTTCTTTTTTTTCCCCTGCATACTTGTCTTTTTTTTCCCATTATTTAACAAATGCTTATGTGGCATTTACTGTGTTTCCAGGCAAATGTCTTATTCCTTATAGCAACCATATGGGGTCTATTATCTCATTTTTCTAGTGGGGCTGAGGCACAGGCAGGTCATGGCTCTGGACTTTAGAGCTGATAGGTCTTGGAGCTGGGATTCAAGCTCAGACAGTTGTGCTCCAAAGTTGTTTCTCTTTCTGTTATAAAACAAAGAGTTCCTCTGATGGCAGAATGCAGTCTGATATCACATGATCTGTATCATAGTGGAAATGAGAGGTCAGAGCAGGGCTGACTGCCATAACTAACATTTAGGACAGGGATATATGTGTGATGAACATTCTGAGATTCCCAGGAGTTAGGGCAGGGACTCACACAGATCAGAGTGGCTCTGGTTGTCAGTAGGCCCAGCTACCTCACCAAGTGAATGATGAAGAAGGCCCCAGATGTTGGTCATTGCCACTAATGCTTTGTCCTTTACCTCTCTGCTATCTCTTCAGACTCTTTATCCCATTTTTGGGGGGTTCCCTCTGGAAAATCTTTTGGGCCAGCTGTAGTACCTCCCCAGCCAGTGTCTGTAGGGGACAAACCTCATGCGAGGCATCCTATCAGGCTCCCGGAGGCCTATTTCTGGAGGTACATCAGGATGGTGCTGACCCACAGGGTTCTATTGTGGTCTGGCTCAAGTAACGTTGGCCCCTGCCAGGGAATACATTCTGTGCCAATGACTTCCTTTAATATTGTACTTTGGGGGTCTCCCCCATGGTGTTGACTCTTCCCCTGAGAAGATGGAAAAATCTAGGACAAAATATAAAAAAAGGAGAAAGCATTCTAGTTAACAGTGTCATTATTTAATGAGGTATTTGAAATGTCCCAGAAGGGAGTCTTAGATTGCTTTTAGGAAGAAGATGATACAATCTGATCCTAAGCTAATTCATGCAAACCACAGGTTAGCACCTTTGAAGTGACACATGAGATTTAAGACTCTTGGAGTTCTGTCAGAGGGGCCAAAGGAAGGGGAGCAGATGGAAATGAATTATGTGTGGATATGGCAGATTTTCTGAGCAAAGGTCAGGGATGTGATACATTTTCTAATTCAGGGGTGGCTCATGAGAGGGACAGAAGTAGGTAGGGAAAGTAGTGGATCTGCACCAACCAGTCCACATAATATTGAAAATCAACTTCCACCTGAACACACTTCTCAAGCTGCTATTTAGTACTTCTTATATAACAAGTATCATTCTAACAGCTCTAAATACTTGATCTAATTTAATGCTGTCAATAACCCTGTTGAATTATCCCTGTTGGATAGATAATGAAACCCAAGATTCAGAGAGATCAAGTAACTTGCTCACAGTCACACAGCAACAGCCTCCTAACCAATCTCCCTGCTTCAACTTCTTCCATTCTTATCCAACTATAGTCTACATTCTTACAGAAGTCATTCTGACCTCTCATAAATAAAAATCTAATAATGCCAACCCTTACTTAAAACTCCCAAATGGCTTCTGATCATACTTGGAACAAAATCTAATCTTTTATCATGGATTACCAAACTCTGTATGATCTAACTCCTGATGACCTTTATGGCCTTATCTGGCATCACAGTCTCTTATGCCTGTGTGCCCTGGCCCAGTGGGCATTCTTGCAATTCCTGGAATGTTTTAAGCTGATTGCCTCTGCTCTTCTCTTGGCTGACTTTACGTTATTCATATCCCAAAATTATTACCTCTTCAGAGAGGCCATTCCTGACACCTGAATTAATTCATGATACTTCGCAGCCCTTGATGTTTCTTTCCTATTTCTTTGTTTATTGGTTAATGGTGTACCATTTGTTTATTGATTAATGGTGTATGTGACATTAGAGCCCACACTTATTCTGACTGCATGATGTCAAAACCTGCTCATAACCTCTACCCTGCCTGTGATCTGTGCTCTGCAGTTTTTCAGCACATTATTGTGGACTAGTGAGCATTTTTATAAAATACAGGTGACCCTTGAACAGCACGGGTTTGAACTGAGTGGGTCCACTTATATGTAGGTTTTTTTCAATAAATGTATTGGAAAATTTTTTGAAGACTTGCAACAATTTGAAAAAACTCACAAGCCATGTAGCCTAGAAATATCAAAAAATTAAGAAAAAGTTAAGTATGTTATAAATGCATAAAATATATGTAGTTACTCGTCTTATTATTTACTACCATAAGATATACACAAACCTATAATTAAAAAAAGTTAAAAGTGATCAAATTTTATGCACACAAACACTTACAGACCATATAAGTCACCATTCACAGTCAAGACACATGTCAACAACTGTAAAGATACAGTGTTACATGTTTTGGCTCTGTGTCCTCATCCAAATCTCACCTTGAATGGTAATAATCTTCACATGTTATGGGAGGGTCCCAGTGGGAGGTAAATGAATCCTGGGAGTGGGTTTTTCCCATGCTATTCTCATGATAGTGAATAAGTCTCATGAGATCTGATGATTTTATAAAGGGGAGTTCCCCTGCATATGCTGTCTTGCCTGCTGCCATGTGAGATGTCCCTCTGCTCTTCCTTCATCTTCCGCCATGATTGTGAGGCCTCCCCAGCTATGTGGAACTGTGAGTCCATTAAACCTCTTTCCTTTATAAATTACCCAATCTTGGGCATGTCTTTATTAGCAGCATGAGAACAGACTAATACATAGTGTTAAATCATAAAATAAAACCATAGTATGTACTGTACTACCCCAGTAATTTTGTAGCCACTTCCTGTTGCTACTGCAGTGAGTTCAAGTGTTGTACCTGCTTAAAATGCAGTGACACTAACAATCTCAGCAGGAGCAGTTCATCTCTCCAGTAAATTGCATATTGCAATAAAAAGTGATCTCTCATGATTCTTGCGTATTTTAAAAATCATGTTTAGTGCAATACCATAAACATTAAATAACACCAGGGAACCCATATCAAGTGACACTAGTGTTGCTGGAAGTGCTCCCAACAAGCAGAGAAAAGTCATGACATTACAGGAAAAAGTTGAACTGCTTGATACATACTATAGATGTGAGGTCTGCAGCTGCAGTTAGTTGCCTGCCATTTCAAGATAAATGAATCTAGCATAAGAACCATTGTAAAAGAAAACAAAACAAAACAAAAACAAAATTCGTAAAAGCCATCACTGCAGCTACAACAGCAGGTGCAAAAACCTTGCACTTTTTGTACAATACATTTATCTCATATTGAAAATGCAGCTTTCACATGGGTGCAGGATTGCTGTGAGAAAGGCATACCTATAGACTCTAATATGATTAGAGGAAAAGCAAAGTCAATTCAAATTAAAAGTAAGATTAAGGATCAGAGCTGGGTCATTTAATGCCAGCAAAGGATGGTTTGATAATTTTAGAAAGATATTTGGCTTTAAAAAAATGTCAAGATAGCAGGAGAAGGAGCTTCTGCCAATCAAGAGGCAGCAGAAATGTTCCTAGATGCTATTAAAAAAAATCATTGAGAAGAAAGGATATCTGCCTGAAAAGGTTTTTAATGCAGTCGAAAGTGCCCTATTTTAGAAAAAAAAAATGCCACAAAGGACTTTTATTAATAAGGAAGAGAAGCAAGTCCAAGGATTTATGTCAGAAAGGAGTAGGCTAACTCTACTGTTTTGTATAAATGCAATCCGGTTTAGGATGAGTCCATATCTATAGATATGCTCTTATGTGTAAAGCTGTTCATCCCTGATCCTTGAAGGGAAAAGATAAGCCTCAGCTGCCAGTATTTTGGTTGTACAACAAGAAGGCATGGACAATGAGAGCACTTTTTCCGGATTGGTTACATTGATGCTTTCTTTGTTCTTGAAGTCAGAAAGTACTTAGACAGTAACGGACTGCCTTTTAAAGTTCTTTTGATATTAGACAATGCTCCTGGCCACCCAGAACCCATGAGTTTAACATCAAAGGTATTGAAGTGGTCTGCTTGCCTCCTAAACATGTCTCTAATTCAGCCTTTAGATGAGGGGGTTATAAGAATCTTTTTTTTTTTAATAAATTTTTTGTAGACATGAGGTCTCACTGTGTTGCCTGGGCTGGTCTCGAACTCCTGAGCTCAAGCGATCCTCCTGCCTTAGTCTCCCAAAGTGCTAGGATTACAGGTGGGAGCCACTGTGCCTCGCCACTCATAAGGATTTTTAAGGCTCATCACAAAGCACATGGTACTCTACAGAAAGGATTGTTAATGCTATGGTAGAGAGCCACCAGAGAGAAGAACATCATGCAAGTCTGTAATCCTAAAACGATAAATTTCTGCTGGAGAAAACTGTGTCCAGATGTACATGATTTCACAGGATTTATGACAGAGCCAATCAAGGAAACCACAAAAAGAAATAGGAGATATGAAAAAAAAAAAAAGGTGGTGGGTGAAGGCTTTCAAGGTATAGATTTTGGAGAACCTCAAGAGCAAATAAACATCACACCAGAGGAATTAACAGAAGATGACTTGATAAAGATGAGTGTTTCCAAACCACTGCCAAACAATGCGGAAGAAGATATAGGAGAAGCAGTGCCAGAAAACTAACTTTACGCAATCTGGCAAAAGAGTTTCGGTTATTCAGGACTGCTTTTAACTTCTTTTATGACATGGACCCTTCTGTGATACAGGCACTGAAACTGAAGCAAACAGTGGAGGAAGGATTGGTACCATATTGAAACATTTTTAGAGAAATAAAAAAGGAAAAAGTCAGACAGAGACCACAATGCATGTCAGTCACACCAGGTGTGCCTGCCTTTCCCGCCTCCCCTTCCACTTCCTCTGCCTCTTCCCCTCTGCCACCCCTGAGACAGCAAGACCAATCCCTCTTCTTCCTCCTTTTCCTTAGCCTATTCAATATAAAGATGATGAAGATAAAGACCTTTAAATGATCCACTTCCGCTTAATGAATAGTAAATATATTTTCTCTTCCTTGTGATTTTCTTAATAACATTTTCTTCCCTCTAGCTTACTTTATTATAAAAATACAAATATGTATTACATATAACATACAAAATACATGTTAATTGACTGTTTATGTTATTGGTAAGACTTCTGGTTGACAGCAGGCTATTAGTAGTTAAGTTTCTGGGGAGTCAGAAGTTATATGTGAATTTTCAACTGCACGAGGGGTCAGTCTCCCTAACCCCCATGTTGTCCAAGGCTCCATTGTAGATGCTTTTTTACTTTTCAGAAATAAAAGCCATAAACTTGTTTATTTGAGGGTAGGAAGAGTAATGTCAGGAGGCTATTTTTTCTTTCTAGAAACATACATTTTTATTTCTTCAAAATTATTTAGTACACAACAGTTTCCGAGGGAAACTCGATGCTATTTGTTCTTGGATTAGAAATTCTCTCTCCTGATGGTGATTACTGAGTCTCCATTTAAAACTCTTGGAATAAACAAAGCTGTGAGGATGCGGGGTGCTAATTAAGCCTTTTCCTAATTGCTTCATTGTGCGTCAAGATGAAGACAGTCCTGAAGTTATTATACTGTTTTACTCACCACTTTTAGGTCTGTGACTCAAACTCCCACTTTTATTCGGCTATATACACACTAAAAAGCAATGACATTTACAAACCAATCTCAGACCAGACACTCCTGCCTTAGAACATGGTGCACAGAAAATATTTCTTAAAACCATTACACTGAAATATACAGTAAAATCTGTTTTTCAGCAGACATTGTTATAGTCTGTTGAATTTTCTTACTAATCTAGAAAACCTGTTTGTTAGAATTCTGATAATTAGAAATATTTCTTTTTTTTTTTGCTTGTGAAACTTCAGCTTTTATTTTATTTTTTTATTTTTATTATACTTTAAGTTTTAGGATACATGTACACAACGTGCAGGTTAGTTACATATGTATACATGTGCCATGTTGGTGTGCTGTACCCACCAACTCGTCATTTAACATTAGGTATATCTCCTAATGCTATCCCTCCCCCCTTCCCTCTACCCCACAACAGGCCCCAGTGTGTGATGTTCCGCTTCCTGTGTCCATGTGTTCTCATTGTTCAGTTCCCACCTATGAGTGAGAACATACGGTGTTTGGTTTTTTGTCCTTGCGATAGTTTGCTGAGAATGATGGTTCTAATGTGTCTGACAAAAGGATTGTCTTTGGGAATTTGAAGGTGAATTTTTTCTCCTCACCTTTTGCTTTCTGCACTTTTACGATTTTCTAAAGTGACTATATATCATTTTTATAATGTGTAAAAGAAGTTTATACAATATTTTAAAATAAACCTGCCATTTTCCTAATTTTCTAAGTATCTTGTGGTAAACATAATTCAATCTTCTTGGCCTGTCAGTGTAAGAATAATATTTTAAATTTTATTTTTAAATAAGTTTTTGTTTCTAAGAATGTTACTAATTTTTTTTTTTACTTCTGATAGATTTTGATATTAGTCTTCAAAACTGACTTAATGTCTTATGAAATGCTTGCTGTTATGTTTGAAGTTAGGTAATTTATGTAAGATTCAGTGAAGAATAAGTGGAATTCCATGTTTATGATTTTAAGCTATAAAACACTCTAAATTAAATGTGTCTTTATTAGAATCTGTTCTGACCAGTGCAGAGGCCAAAGAGAGGAAGAACATCTTAAACAATAAAGAGTCATTTCTCTTGGTGACTTATAATTCTGGAAGTTATTTCTCTTAAAATCATAGCATTAAAAGGGACTTTAGAGACCCTCTAGTCCATCGTCCTCATTTTGCAAATGAGGAAAATGAGACAGCATGTTGGTTCAAGGTGGTGCGGCTGATGTAGGCTGAAATCTCATCTTGTACACTGGTGTTCTTTGCTTTTTCCATATCCCTTTACTCAGACTCCAGAGGTGATGAAGGATGTATGTTTCCTAATCAGATTGCCTTGTTGGAAGTAACATTTGATTACAACATAATTGAATGATGGAAACTTTCTTTTTAAGATGGAGTCTCACTCTGTTGCCCAGGCTAGAGTGCAGTGACGCCATCTTGACTCACTGCAATCTCTGTCTCGCCAGTTCGAGCGCTTCCTCTGCCTCCCAGTAGCATGGGATTAAGGCATGTGCCACCATGCCCAGCTAATTTTTGTATTTTTAGTAGAGATGGGGTTTCACCATGTTGATGGTGGCTGGTCTCAAACTCCTTACTTCAAATGATCCACCTGCCTCCATCTCCCAAACTGCTGGGATTACAGGCATGAGCCACCATACCCAGCCCAAAACTTTCTGGAAAACAGATTGATAGTATGTGCCACATTCCTTAAAAAATTAAAAAAATTAATTCAAGCCAGGTGTAGTGCCATGTGCTTGTAGTCTTAGCTACTTGGCAGACTGAGGCAGGAGGATTGCTTACCCAGGTGTGTGAGGCTGCAGTGAGCTATGATGATCACACCTGTGAATTGCCACTGCACTGCAGCCTGGGCAACAGAGCAAGACCCCGTTTCTAAAAAAAAAAGTTAGTTTTCTTTGACTTATTAATTTCACCTTAAGAAATTTTCCTAATAAACCAATTCAATATGGACAAATGTTTAGGTACAAAGATGTTTATCTCACCACTATTTTTAATAAAAAAGGAATTGAAAACCTGGCTCAACAATAAAGGAATACTTAATTGGTTATGATATTAAAGGACTCATTACACATCTCATTATTAATGTGTATTTAATGAACTTGGAAAATGCTTTTGATATGAAGGTAAAAATAATGATATAGAGCTAAATATAGAGTTTCATTCCAATCTTTTTAAATATATTTATGCACTTAGGAAAAAAACAATATGGAAATGTGTAAAATATACTTTTTTTTTAAAAAAAAGGACACATTTATTCAGCATTATGATCAGACTATTACATTTAACAATCAACAGTATGGGTGCCAAAAAAAATCTACATTAAAACCCTTTGTTGTAATGCTTTACACTTTCCACAGAACAGAAACTAAAAGAATCTGTTACACAATTAGTCACAAATATAGTCCTCGAGTTTTTTACCCATACACATGAGTATTTGTCTAAAACATGTCTTCTTGTAGCACTTAGGCCCTGCCACCACTGTGCTTGTCTGAGTTCACAAATCTGTTGTAAACTGTAGCTTCCCTGTCACTTCTCTGGCTCTTATCTCCTGCTAAGATTTGTTTCCTGGCAGTAATTTAAAATCTTCTGCCACTGCTGTAGCTACTGCTGCTACTGGAACTGCCATAGCCACCTTGGTTTCATGGTTTGGCAAAGTACTGGCCTGTACCAGCATAGGGGCCAGAGCTTCTGCCTCCAAAGTTTCCTCCCTTCATGGGTCCAAAATGTAAAACTAATTGTTGTAATTGCCAAAATCATTACACCACCTCCAAAATTGCTTCCATGATTACCAAATCCATTATAGCCATCCCCACTGCCACTATATCCACCACCACCACAGCTGCCACCAAAGCCACAATGACCACTGAAGTTTCCTCCACGACCAAAGTTGTCATTCCCACCGAAACTACCTCCACGACCACCACCAAAGTTCCCAGAGCTGCTTTGCCTCTTTGGCTGGATGAAGCACTCACCATCTCTTGCTTTGACAGGGCTTTCCTAACTTCACAAGTGTGGCCATTCACAGTATGGGTATTTCTCAGTGACAGTCTTACCCATGGAGTCATGGTCGTCAAAAGTTACTAAAGCAAAGCCCCTTTTCTTATCACTGCCTTGGTCAGTCATGATTTCAATCACTTCAATTTTTCCATACTATTCAAAATAATCTCCTAGGTGATGTTCTTCAGTGTCTTTAATGCCACCAACAAATATCTTTTTCACAGTTGGGTGGGCATCTGGTCTTTGAGAATCTTCTCTTGAGACAGCTCTCTTTGGTTCCACAACTCTTCCATCCACCTTGTATGGCCTTGCATTCATGGCTGCATCCACCTCCTCCACAGTGGCATATGTGACAAACCCAAAGTCCCTTGAGCGCTTGGTATTTGGATCTCTCATTACCACGCAATCCATGAGCATTCCCCATTGCTCAAAATGGCTCCTCAGGCTCTCATTGGTCAACCAATGTAGAGCTCAACCTCCAATGAAGAATTTCCTCAGCTGTTTGGGCTCATTAGGAGACTCTGACTTAGACATGACGGCAGGGGAAAGAGAGACTTTAAGGATGCTTCCTTGGTGGCGTCCACGGGCAGAAAGGGGTAAGCGTCCACAGGCAGAGAGGAGTAAGCCTTTGAATGTATCTAAAATTTACTTTTTATTGCCTGCATTCTTTCACTATTTTCCAAACATTCTTCAATTGTCACAAATGGCAATGATAAAGAGAAAAATATAAACATCACATTTTAAAAATAAGTGTAAAATAACTGTGAACTTAAAATGTGATCATCATAGAAGAAAGAGCACTGCAATAGAAGTACTGTGAGTTCTCTGGTTAATTTTGCGAAGCCACGTAAAGCTGTGTGGCTTTAAGCAATGCCATAATCCATTTAAGTCTTAGCTTCTATTTCTGCAAAGGAGAAGTTTGAATTAGTCAATCTTCCTTCCAGATCCATAACTCAGTTTGATAAATTACTTAGTATCTTTTTCTACAGAGAAAATGCTCATACATAATAATAAATATGTAATCATAAAATTATTTTCATTAGTCTGTTTTATAGAATTCAAATTAATCACCACTATTTACTCTTGTGCCTCTTGGTGATCGGTGCTGTCTGTTACAGATCGCTACTGAAGCAATAGAAAACTTCCGAACCGTTGTTTCTTTGACTCAGGAGCAGAAGTTTGAACATATGTATGCTCAGAGTTTGCAGGTACCATACAGGTAATAACCGCTGAAGAGTGGGAGGAGAGTGTGAATAATTTTTCAATCATCATATTTGTTTTCAGAGGGATTACTTTGGCTAGAAGGTAGGGAGCAAGTGGAGAAAGTGCTCGAAGGTAAACCATTGAGAAACAGTTGTAATTATGCAGGAGAGAAAGTACAAGACCCTGAACTAAGGCAGGGACATCTCTGAGGTAGAACCTGTAAGAATGGGTCACTGATGAGAAGGGAGGGAGACATGATGCTGAGAATGACTATCTGATGTCCAGGTAGGATATGACCCTATAATTTGCTCTAGTTGAAAATGAGTTATTTATGGAACCTGAAATTTGAGGTACCTGTGGGACACAGAGAGGATGGTGCTTCCTGGGTTTACCTGTCTTTCTGCTTTTTACCCCTTCTCCAGTGCAGACCTTCTTCCTTTAATACAGTCATCCCAGTGAGGGCTCTAATAAGTGGTGTGAACATAAGCAAGCCCAACCTTTCTGAGTCTGTTTCTTATAATAAAAGGAAAGCTGGACTTTATTGATGGATTTTTAAGCTTTTATTTAAAAAAAATGATGGTAGAGCCTTTTTGTCTAAAAAAAAATTATTTGAAATCTTCATATGTGATGAAGGTAAAAGCAGAGTTGATCTGGTAGCAGGAGGGGTTGGAAGCCCAGGGCTGCCCACTTGCTAACCTGCCCCCACCCACACCTCCATATCACTGAGCTGGATCCATATCATGATTCTAGAATGTCAACCCCTTTTTAAAGCCTTCTCTGAGACCCCCGAAGAATTTAGTGCTTCTCCTTTCTTCCTATAACAGATTATTCATAAGGCACCTCTAATGCATAAATAGTAATTCAACTCAAGTCAGGTCTCCTAAGTCAAGAACATGCCTGTTTCCTCTATGTCAACCCATCATGGCCCCTGCACCTTGTAGGTGTTGGGTAACTGTGTGCAGAATGAATATTTACGTAGAGTACTTCCATACTGTGTGTCCAAAAGTGGGGAGAAAGGGAGATAACTTTTACTTATTGATCCCTAACCGGCTCTTTACAGTCATTGGATTATTTTCTCTTTACATCAACACTTTGAGGTGTAGTTAATTCTACATTAAAGATAAAGACACTGAGTCTCAGAGGTTAGGCAGTTTCCCAAATTTGCACAACTGTTAAGTGTAAAGTGAGGACCAAACTTAGTTCTTTGGAAACGAAACCCATTTTTGTTGGTCATGCCTCTGTGCCCTACTGCCAACCTATCAAAAGTTACATTTTAAGGACTGAGAAATGAAAGTGGAATGAGTTTTCAAATGTCTTCTTTTCAGAAACTCTTTGAGGAAAGCACACATCTTTGGAATTACATTTTCCTTCACCCAGGCAATGATGTATTTTTCCTATGCTGGATGTTTCCGGTTTGGAGCCTACTTGGTGGCACATAAACTCATGAGCTTTGAGGATGTTCTGTTGTAAGTATTGGGCTATTATTTAGTTAAGCTCTAAAAATAAAGCTGGGATGAACATGCTTCATGTCTAGATAGGAAACCCTACTGTGAAGCCTCATGAAGAGATTCTGGTGATTCCTAAATCGGCATTTCTGCCTCTGAGTCTTCATGTGCCACCATTGAAGCACCCCCTTTCATTTGGAGGAGCAGTAACTTCTTTCCTCATTGCTGGCTCACACATAGTTGACCTTTTCAAATCTGTGACTGAGTGGAGTGATTCCATTCGGAGATTTTGAGAAGGCCTTGGCATTTGGGAAGAAGCCTAGCCCTGAGCAAGGAGTCTGACTGGCTCCTTTTAAAGGACTTTCTTACAGAGCAAGTAAAATACAGATGTGTTGTACTAAGTTCTGCAAGCCTTTGGCAATTCCAGGATATGTTTACTTTCCCTTGATAAGAGAGGAATTGGAAGGTAAGAGCCAAATGAATTCAGAAATGACAAAGGAAAAGTTATATTGGGATTTTTCTGCTACATTGTTCTGAATGTAGATAATTGTACCTCGGTCAGAGGAAGATAAGCCTGAAGCAATTATACTACAAAAGTACCCAAATATGCAATTTGGTGGTCAAAAGTATGTGTAATCTTTCTGAGCTTCTAGATTTGGAGGTGGGTAAGATTCTGCCTCTTGATAGCATAACATAATTAGTAGCGATATAATTTTATATTTAAACCAGAATCATATAAGCCTGGCAGTATAATGTGTTAGTATAGTATTTCTGTCCTTTTTAAACATTGAGTTGTTCATGCATTACAGTTTGCTCAGGATGACCCCCAAAAAGACATCTAAATTTCCATTAAAGATGTACATTGGACAAATGATATGCAGGTGCTATTTGTGATTATGGCCTAGAGATCAAAACCAAGTATCACTGGCATTGGGGCTTTGATTAGATAATTATTTGATATATTGCTTTACTCCAAAAAATTGAATTGATGAAAGTTGCTGACATTGGGGCATTTAGGTTTGCAAAATCAACCTTCCAAGTTAAGGAAAAGGAAGACCTGTCTGAAGAACAGTGCATTAGAAAAAGGTCCCATAGGTTTAAATGATCACAAGTCCAAGATTAACTATCGGTATTTTATTTAGTGCTAGTTAAACAAACAAACAAACAAAAACTAATGACACAATATGCTACACAAACATAGGCATAGAGTCCAGAGGAAAGAAAGCGATGAATTCCCTGTATTCTGGGCGGGTTCCCAAGTATTATGTCTGTTCCAGGCTTGTGTTTAAAAAAAGCATATTAATAAATGTGTCTAGAGAAGGGCAGTGAAAGGAGTTATCAAAGAAGCAAAGGAGTTTTTAGCAATATTTCAAGACTTGTAGGCCTGTCTTATGTAAAAGGAAGTAAATTTTTTCTTCAGTTTGAAAAAGAACTGTTTAACAATAGACAATCAAACATGCTACTTCCTAAAACAGAGGATGGAAGCCAATTTAGGGGAGGTGTCCAGGCACGAACATGGAGAGCTGGACTTGATACCTGTAAGGTCCTTCCCAACTTTAAGTTGCTGTGATTCCCATGTCATAGATAAGAACGTCAATGCATCTTAAGAGCAACATGATATCTGGCTCTGTAAGAAACTTTCTTTTGGTTGCACAATTCATAGGTTTTTAAGAATCTGATGTAATTCCAACATCACTGACTGTATCCGTTGTTGATTACCACAATAATGCTGTGTAACAACCAGCCACTAAACCTCAGAGACATACATATTTTTGCCCACAAACCTATGGGTTAGCTGTGAAGTTCTACTGATCTGGATTAGGCATAGTGGATCTCGGCTGGACTTACTCATGTGTCTGTAGTGGATTGTGTCTGTAGCTGGTTGGTTGGGATTCAGACAGCTCTCCTCCATGTGTGCCTCATCCTCCAGCAGGCTATCCTGGGTTTGAGACAGTGGCAGAATTCTGAGAGAGAGAGAGAGAAAGAGAGAGAGAACACATGCATGCATGCTCACAAAGCATATAAGGCCCCCTGAGTCATAGGCTTGGAACTGGCAAAAGTGATTTCCACCATATCCTGTTGGCCAAAGCAAGTCACAAGGCCAGCCCAGATTCAAAGGGTGCTGCAAAGGTCACAGTGCAAGAAGATGAGGATACAGAGAGAGGTATACAGAGGGAAAAAAATGGGCCATTTTGCAATCAATCTATCACATAGACATGAACTTATAAGGAAATGTGTTTGTTTTATTTTTAACATCTGTTTTATAACTATTAGAGGCAAAGCTCTCTGGTTATAGAAGTGTCAACTTTTGGCCAGGCATGGTGGCTCACACCTATAATCCCGGCACTTTTGGAGGCTGAAGCAGGAGGTTCACTTCAGCCCGGTAGTTCGAGACCAGCCTGGGCAATATAGGGAGACCCCCATCTCTACAAAAAATAAAACAATTAGCTGGTGTGGTCATGCACAGTTGTAGTCCCAGCTACTACAGAGGCTGAGGTGGGAAGATCGCTTAAGCCCTGGAGATCATATCTTTAGTGAGCTCTGATTGCACTACTGCACTCCAGCCTGGGCAACACAGGAAGACCCCACCTCAAAAAAAAAAAAAAAAAAAAAAAGGAGTGTCAGCTTTCTAGCATTGTGATGGTAATGCTGTGCACATGTTTTGTGTTTGTGCTTTCCAGAGTATTTTCAGCTGTTGTCTTTGGTGCCATGGCCGTGGGGCAAGTCAGTTCATTTGCTCCTGACTATGCCAAAGCCAAAATATCAGCAGCCCACATCATCATGATCATTGAAAAAACCCCTTTGATTGACAGCTACAGCACGGAAGGCCTAATGCCGGTGAGTTTGATGTTTCAACTGTTTGATCTACTCCTGACTCCTGAATGAAAGTATTTTAAGTGGAAACTTAATAAAATTTGTACTTTCAAATATGCTGATGATAAAATAAAACTTCCTAGATCATAGATTCCTTTCAATTACTGCTAATAATATACATCAACATTCAGTACTTTTACGTAGCAAAGGTTATAGGGAAATAGGAATACTGCTCACTTTATAAGCAAAACCTATTAATCAGATTTTTTAAAAACAATTTTTTTTTAGAGACAGAGTCTTACTCTGTCATCCAGGCTGGAGTGCAGCAGTATGATCATAGCTCACTGCAGCCTTGATCTTCTGGGCTCAAGCGATCCTCCTGCCTCAGCCTCCCAAGTAACTGGGACTACAAGCGTGTGCCATCATGCCCAGCTAATTTTTTAATTATTTGTAGAGACAGGGTCTCGTTATGTTGCCCAGGCTGGTTATCAGATTTTATTGTATGTAAGTTACTGTATTCCTGAGGAACAGATTTGAGTTATTGTAGCTGTATTGCATATTCATATTGTCTTAACAATACATGCTATGAAAGCTTTTACTCTTTTAGATCTCATTTATTAAATTCTAGCAGTCTGAGGTCAAGCACAGTGGCTCATGCCTGTAATCCCAGCACTTTGGGAGGCCAAGGTGGGTGGATCACGTGAGGTCAGGAGTTCGAGACCAGCTTGGCCAATATGGTGAAACTCCATCTCAAATAAAAATAAAAAAAAAAAGATTAGCTGGGTGTGGTGGCACACGCCTGTAATCCCAGCTACTTGGGAGGCTGAGGTACGAGAATTGCTTGAACCTGGGGGGTGGAGGTTGCAGTGAGCTGAGATCATGCCACTGCACTCCAGCCTGGGTGACAGAGTGAGACTCTGTCTCAAAAAAATAAAAAATAAATAAATAATAAAATTAAAATAAAATAAATTCTAGCAGTTTGAAGTGAAGCCAATTGTAACACAAATTAATTATCTTCTGACACCTGGTAATCGAGAGAGTTAGCTATACACTTTATTTTCAGTATTGCAGCATTCAAATTTACTGTTATTCTTCTCATTGCAGAACACATTGGAAGGAAATGTCACATTTGGTGAAGTTGTATTCAACTATCCCACCCGACCGGACATCCCAGTGCTTCAGGGACTGAGCCTGGAGGTGAAGAAGGGCCAGACGCTGGCTCTGGTGGGCAGCAGTGGCTGTGGGAAGAGCACAGTGGTCCAGCTCCTGGAGCGGTTCTACGACCCCTTGGCAGGGAAAGTGGTGAGCACACTTTCACATTTAGCTCAGTTCAGGTTTTCATCATCCAAATGTCTGAATGTATTTAATTCTCAACTATAAGCCATGTTTTTTCAAACCTTTAAACAACAGTCCCACTTGGATAAAGTCTGAGAGCCTAAATATGGTCTCCAAGTGGTGTCATCTGTCCCAGCCAACTTCTCCAGGCTCCCCTCAACACTACCCCTCTACCCTCCTTTGCAAGCACCCTTTGTACCACCTGTCTCCCTTGCTGTACTTAGGTTTCAGCTGACTTGAAAAGAACCAACAAAAATGGAAGTAGCCAGAAAGATACAGGACAGGTGCTAGGAGTGAGATGAAAGCCAAGGATGGAGACTGTTTCAAAGATGGTGGTCAGCAATGACAGATGGTATAGAGAGATTGGGTAAGGAGGAGACTGAGAAGACATGATAGAATCTAGCAATGAATGGGCTATTTCTGACATTTTAAAATATTCTTAGTGAAGTAGTGATGGTAGGAAACAGTTAAGGGTGGCTGAAGTATGATTAGGGGAAGAAATGGAGATGTAAGTGAGCATAGATTATCAAGAAGATGGAAAGTAAAAGAAAGGCAAATAAGGACAGCACTTGAGTGGGGAGGCAGAGTCCAGGGAAAATGTTTAGGGGTTGAACTCTTGAGCATTTTTATGACTGGGGATGAGACAAAATCATTGATGGAGAGAGGGCATTGAAACATCATCTGAGGAAAAAAAAGTAGAATCAACAAATTTGGGAAATGTAAAAAGAACATGGAAGTATGCCCTTTTGTCTTAGTTGCTGGGGATGAGGGAAGTGTCTGGCAGGGAGTAGTGAGTTTAAACGACTATGATGGGGGATAGGAAAGAAGACAAACTAGGAAGGAATAGAATTAAGAGCAAGACATTTTCATTATGTAGGCATGTAATTAGTTGTACTGAGAAGTGATATTTAAAATTCTTAACAATGGGAACAGCATGGACACTGACCAATCAGAATGGATGCCTGCTAGTACAAGTCAGATGGATGCCCACCCGCTGTGTATGGACGCTGGTAGCATTTAATGACTCAAATGAAAAGAGAGTTTTCAATCTTTAGTCTAGGACTCTTTTTACTTCCTCACAGCGGTCACTCTTACTCATAAATGTTTGTTATTGTATTCAAAGACAGTTATGCCTTTATTCAGTTTACTCTTAAATCATTACAAGCTTGTTCCCTACTTTTACTCTCTTGCTTTATATTTTCTGTGAACTCTGATTGTGTCCTTCAATTTTGTGGTGAACTTAAAAACAGGACTCTAAATAAAGACGTCGCTGACAGCCAAAGCAATTAGAGGAGGAAATGTTAGCTCTCAGACACTGATTATGGCCCTCAACAGACAGTTATTAAGTGGTGTGTTAAAGATTGTGCTATAATGAATTGTAGGGCATGATATCTGCCCTCAAATACTTTAACTGAGGAGATGGGGCATATAGTTTTGTGAGTTAAAGGAGATAGGCCTAGAGCTAGTTCTTAAGAGATAAGGATTTGCATATGGGTGAACAGTAGGGATGACATTCAATGTAAGAGAAAATACAAGCTGCGATCAGTGATTTGTTCCCAATGCAGCAAATAGGACACTTTGGCTGAAATGGGAGTTTAGTTTGAGTAGTGGTTCTCAAACTTCTCTGATGAGAACTCATGTAGGAAAGATTTAAAGATGTCACCATCCACTAATGTACTCATAGTCACTTTCCAGTGGGAAAAACACTTGGTGATAACAAAATGTTGGAGTTGAAAACAACAATACAATACAGCACAATAATGATACAATAAGGAATAATTAATGATTATTCTGCAAGTATATAAACACAAGCAGAACATAATAAAACATGGACAGCATCAGTTACAGTTCAGAGTAGGAAACAGAAACTGCCCTAGGTATTTCAAGTAGATAAGTATTTAATAAAGGGAATTACATGCTTACAAAATCTTTGGAAGGGCTGGAAGAGTGAAAGGAGGCTATTTGCTCCCAGACTTCCAAATCACAGCACTGCAGCTGTGATTCTGTAACCAAGAAGCTGCAGAAAATTATGCCGATATCACAGCTGTTCCAAATTTAAAGACACGAGACTAGAATCTGGCTGTTGCAGAAATTCTTGTCTGCCAAAGATGAGTTAAGCCGTTAGCTTACCACAGCTGCTGAAGGAGAGCTGGTGTCTACCTCCCAGATTTTACACTGTGCATCTCCCTCGTAGACCCTGACTTACTTCCAGAACCAAGGGAAACTGGGAAATAGTTTTTAGCCTTCTAGTCCCTTGATGTATAAAAGGTCAGACACAGAAGTATATGAAAATGAATGCTGAGTGCATAGGACAGTAAGCATCCCAAGACATTATTGATAATGCACTGAAAACAAAGTGTCCTCATTTATTGCAGGAATATCCATTATCTTCTCCTGTGCATTTGCACTAGGGCTTGGAAATACTGCCAGATGGTGCACTGCAGCCAGACTTCTCAGCAGAAAGTGTCCACAATAAACTCTAGTAAATGTACAAAGTTTTGTTTATGGACATCAATGAGTAGCCCTGAATAACTCAGTGGATTACTACTAATTAGTTTTTATTGCCATGTAAAAATGAGTCTGTGGATTTGAGCATAAGAATTAAAGAAAGGATTGGACCCTAAGGACCCCCTGAAGTCAGGAAATTCTCGTGACCATCAGTGGACCTTGAATCCCATGTTGAAAAACATTGACCTGAAATGGTGGTTCTAAAGCTTCGGTGAATATTAGAATGGCCTCAAGAGCTAGTAAAAAACACAGCCGGCCTGGATTATTCAAGTAGGCTAGGGTTTGGCCTTTTATTTTTATAATATTCCGAGGTGATTCTGATGCCAACCATCATTCGAGAGCCACTGAACTGGTAAATTTGAAGAAAGATTTAGGTTAAATTGTGGAGAGTCTTGAATAATTAAGCTATGAAATTGTGAAGATGGGAGGATCCTCCAAGTTTTGAGGGACCTGAAGGTTATACAATTGTAGGGATTCAACTTAAAGTAAAAAAAAAAAATTTTTTTTTTAATGCAAAATTAGATACAAAGGTGGATATTTACTTCAAATGAAAAAAAAATCATAACCAAATACTGGAAGCTTAAAGATTCTGGTCCCTTTTCATTTTTAGGTAATTTATCATCAATACTTACAGGGAAGAGCTTCCTGACTACAGCCTTGCCTCCCTCCCACCCAGAAAACTGTTCGACTTCCCAGAATTTACATGTAATTGAGGGCTCTTGAAGCTTAACCTTCATCAGTGTCACTGTTAAATCACCCCTGCTTTGAGTCTTCCCCTTACCTTTCCTTTCTCCCCTTTCCAGTCTCTCCCATATACAACAGTCAGAACCCCCTTTGGGATACAATTAGAAGCTGCTTGTCATTGTCTGGTTATAACCCAAGAAGTGCCTGAGCCAAGATGGGGGCATTCCCCTTTCAAGGGGGGACACAAAATATCTTTCAGTTGTGAGGTATTAGTGTTACCAAAACCCAACCTAGAGTGTTTAGATCCAGTCTTGGTTTTCCCCCAATTACTAATTGTGTGACCTTGTATAAGTTACTTAACTTTGCTCATTTCCTTATCAGTAAAATGGGAATTAACATCACAGTGACCTTATAAGTGTTGCTATGAAGGTTAAACAAGAGACTGTATGAGACATGCTTATCACAGAACCTACAACGTTGTCAGTGCTTGATTTTTAAAAATCAATTATTATTTCACAGTAAATATGCATAGAAGAATACACATTTAACATTTACATTTTTGCGCTAATGAAAGCAAGCAATAGACTTAACAGTCTACAATAGAGATAGCCAATCATTTTAATCTGGCCTTTCATTATTTCTTACCAATAGGTTTACTTTCCTAGTTATATTTTTATTTAGGCCAGGATTTTTTGAGCACTTCTCATAGATTCCCCAGAGTTCCTTGGTCTTTCCTCAGACCAACACCATTCCTCAGCCAAAGAAGCTCTGCTTCTTTGATCTGTTTTACATTCTAGGCATCTAAACTTGTTTTACTTAAAGAAAGAATTCTTCAGTCAACACAGGTTTTAAATAGTTTGCAATTCTAGGGTATTATGCGGGGACGAGGAGGCCCAAGAGTGTATTCAGTGTAATGAAGAAACTCATTATAACTTGCTGAGATCATTCAGATTTGCCTGTGATTATATTAGTTAGGCAGTGTCTGTTTTCCTCCCAGGGGTATAAACCTGGAAAATTACAACAAAAACAAAAGCAAAAACCAAACTCCTCCTTTCCTTAAATTTCCACTTCTCAAGTACAGTGTTTTATCTAACAAGATCTGCTGCTTAGCCACATCCTTGTTTGGCTTTCACTGTCTCTCTCCACCCTCTACTTTCCACCTTCATTTATTAACATTGTAAGGAAGCCTGGAGCATACATGTGTGGAATAGTCTCCATGGCAACTCAGCTTGGAACTAATAAGGTTATGGGAGAGCTTCCATCCCTGCACCTGCCAGTGTCACAAGCAGAAGCCATGTTCCTGTAGCAAAGATTGTACTCTACTGCTAGGCAGCTGTCCCCTTGAGCCACCCAGCCAGGCACATGGGATACAGAGAGTATATGGCTCAGCACGCACTAGTCACTACTATTAGAAAAGCTCAAAGCTGAGTCACTGGTGCCTTCTTCAGAAGGGATGAACAGCTCTCTCACTTGAATGCCAGAAAATTATCTTGCAAAGCAGACCTATCTGATAGACATATTTGCATCAGAGTAGGGCTTGTTATCAGCAAGGCTGTAAGGTGCCCTCCCCAGTCTTCTGCAGGATAATCCAGGGAGCCAGATTATAGAGAAAGGGCAGCCCTCTGTTCCTACTCATCTGGCTCAGTATTGAGGATCTCCATTCACCCTTTCCTACCCCTGTTCACCTATCCATCCCCTGTAGTTCCTGACCTGCAAAGCTATTATGTGGTCATAGTTGTTATTTATTTCCATGCTAATCCTGGGCACTGTTTCTCTGAAAAATGGAGATTTAAGAATAAGGCTGTCAGGATACATCTCAGAAGTATTAGGCGTTGTATTAGTGTGGCTGCTATAACCACTTGCCACAAATTCAGTGGCTTAAAACAACACCAATTTATGACTTTACACTTCTGGAGGTCAGAAGTCTAAAATAGGTCTCAGTGGGCTCATATCAAGTGTCAGGAGGGCTGTGTTCCTTCTAGAGGCTCCAAAGGATGATCTGTTTTCTTGCTTGTGGCCCCTTCCTCCATTTTCAAAACCAGCAGTGGCTGGTTGAGTCTTTCTCACACTGCATTTGCTGATACTCTTCTCCCTCCTTCTTCTTCAGTTAAGAGCCCTTATGATTACATTAGTTTCACCAAGATAATTCAGGATAATCTTATTTTACAGTCAGCTGATTAGCAACCTTACATCTACTACTTTAGTTTCTTTTTGCCATGTAACATAACACATTCACAGGATCCAGGGATTAGGACACAGATGTCTTGTGGGAGAGGGAACATTATTCTGCCTACCACATGCATACATCAGAAACCATGGTTGAAACACAGGAAACATGACAGTTCCTCAAGGCATACAATTATGACCTTGTTGGGTTAACCTTCACTATCCAAATTTTAATCACACAAACTTTTCCTTAATCTCACAGTAACTTGGCAGTTTCAGTGTAAGAAATAATGATGTTAATTGTGCTACATTCAAAGTGTGCTGGTCCTGAAGTTGATCTGTGAACTCTTGTTTTCAGCTGCTTGATGGCAAAGAAATAAAGCGACTGAATGTTCAGTGGCTCCGAGCACACCTGGGCATCGTGTCCCAGGAGCCCATCCTGTTTGACTGCAGCATTGCTGAGAACATTGCCTATGGAGACAACAGCCGGGTGGTGTCACAGGAAGAGATTGTGAGGGCAGCAAAGGAGGCCAACATACATGCCTTCATCGAGTCACTGCCTAATGTAAGTCTCTCTTCAAATAAACAGCCTGGGAGCATGTGGCAGCCTCTCTGGCCTATAGTTTGATTTATAAGGGGCTGGTCTCCCAGAAGTGAAGAGAAATTAGCAACCAAATCACACCCTTACCTGTATACAAGCATCTGGCCACACTTCCTGTTTGGGTTAGTTGTTACCTTTACCTGATCACCTGACCCTCCTTGTGAGGAAGGGATGAAAGTGTTCGACCACTTCAGGTTTAGGAGAGAGGAACATTTCTGGGATAGGAGAACTGGAACAATTGTCTTGATCCAAAGCTATAGGCTTGAGGCTCCACCTTTGTCAGCCTTAGGGGTAAGTACAATATCTGGAAAGCCTTTCACTTTAAGTCCAAGTACAGAGTCTGGGTCCCCACCTGCACATGCTGCTTCTGGCCTGCTGAGGAAGTAGGCATGACTGTCTCTCCCCATGTCTCTCCCCTATTTCTCTTCCTTCTTCCTCCTTGCAGCTCTCTCCCAAGCCTCAAAACTCACTGTGGAGTCAGTCCAGTCCAGAGGGCTGAACCCATGCCAGAAAGAGTGCTCTCTCTGAATAAGGGTTGAACCATTAAAGTGACCATGGTATCATGTAATCTCTCATCGTCATACATTTCATGGGCCCCAAACTTTGTTTACAGTGAATGGTTGAAATCTTTTCTAGGGCTCCCTGGGCTGTGGTCCTATGGGTGTCCTCTGAATTCCTCCTAGGAAGTTGGATAAATGGAACCTCTCATCCTCTCTCAAGCCCTCTTAGGTCCTGTGTATTAGTTTTTGTGTTTTGTTTTGTTTTGGAATACAAGTTGACTATTCCTTGTCCAAAATACTTGGGACCAGAAGTGTTTTGGATTTTGGAATATTTGCATATACATAATTCACTTATATTTCATGTATACCTTATACACATAGCCAGAAGGCAATTTTATACAAATTTTTAATAACTTTGAGCATGAAACAAAGTTTTGACTGTGTTTTGACTGTGACCTGTCACATGAGATCATGTGTGAAATTTTCCACTTGTGGCATCATGTTGGTGCTCAAAAAGTTTCAGAATTTCAGATTTTGAATTTTTTGGATTATGGATGCTCAACCTGTATTAAAAGTCCAAAATTAGATTTTTTCCAACCTTTATTTTAGACTTAGGGGGTACATGTACAGGTTTATTATACCTGGGTATATTGCATGATGCTGAGGTTTCAGGGTACAAATGATCCTGTCACCTAGGTACTGAGCACAGAACCCAATAGGTAGTTTTTCAACACTTACCCCCCTTCCCTCCCTACACTAATAGTCCTCAGTTTCTATTGTTGCCACTTTTCATCTATGAGTACCTGATGTTTAGCTGCCACTTATAAGTGAGAACATGCAGTATTTGGCTTTCTGTTCCTGCATTACTTTGCTTGGGATAATGGCCTCCAGCTGCATCCATGTTGCTGCAAAAGTTAGGTCCTATATTTTGAAGTGCTTCTCAACCTAGGTAATCTACCTCACCCATTATCACCAGTTATGCTCTTTATTCTAAGGAAGTGCCCCCTAAAACAAAGCTCAGGAGCCTCAACCCGGCGGGGAAGACAGTTTCCTCACGAGGCAGGCAAGCAACACCAGGTGGCTCTCTTTCCCAAGATTCCCTTCTTCCATAGGCTCTTCTTTGGATAACTGCTGACACCAATCTCATTAAGTCCCAGGGAGGTGGCCTTGTCTCCCACTCTCCTTTCACAGTCTAGCCCAACTAGATAATTGACCCTTCTCCAGGCTCAAACATTTAAAACAGAAAGCTCCAATCCCCTTTACTGATGAGAGGATAGTGGTTCTCAAGTATAGACACGGATCAGCATCACCTGGGAACCTGTTAGGACTGCAGATCCAGCAATCCACGTTTTAAGAGCCCAGGTAATACTGTTGCAGGCTCAAATTGGGGAACCACTGGGCTAGGGGTTAATAAAACACAAACACAGAGAGTAACTATTATCTATCTTTTTAAATATACTTTGCCTCTCTGGCATTTGTCTACCACAGGACAAATCCTGGTCTCTAATCTGTCACACAGAACACACCTGTAGACACCATAATTCTCTTCCTCAGTGTCTAGACCAGGAGAGAAAAGGTAAAACCCCTAAGTCCTATTACCTAAGGATCCACTTCTCCTAAGTGATTAATACTAGGATTTACCTCACCCTGTAGGTGGCTGGTTTAGCTACCTCCTTGTAAGACTGCCGCACTGCCTTTATCTGCCTCAACAGGATCAGTACTATATCAAGAGTGCAACTAGTAAACCCTCCACTCACATGAGATACACTTCAGTGCTCCTGCCTTCTGAGACAGCCACAGCTCTGGGGTAGAGCCAGTCCCAAGCATCTGCCAAAACCTCATCTGGCGTCTTCTCCCTCTATTTACAGGGGGAAACCCAGGGCTGAGTGCCACAAAACTAGGGTTGCCAGATATAGCAAATAAAAATAGGCAACCCTGTACTAAAATTTCAGCCTGGAAATAATAAGATAGTATTGTTTTCTAGGTTACAAGTGCAGTCACATCCTGTTTCTGCTCTCTCCTGAGTAACCTTTAACTGCTGTCCCTATCATCATAGTGAATAGTTGGTGACAATTATCCATTGTGGGAAACAACACGGGAAGAATTTTGGGAGCACTCTAACAACAAAAATGTTTAAAAAGGAGATGTTCATTTTCAAAGTTAGATATCAAAATGGAATCCATTTTGATAGCATCCATTAAAATTGTTTAAGTGTTGGAGATACTTTCATAAAAACAGACACTAAAAGGCTGATATCCCAAGAATGTCTTTCCTCAATTTAAAATCATGCAGAGAGTGTCACCTGCTGGTTACAAGTAAGATGAGCTTCAATTATTTTATTATGAATACTTTGTTCAAATCAAATTTCCTTTCTCCTGCCAATCTTTGTCCCAAATATAATGAAATCAGAAGATGGAAGATACTAACATTGCAACAATATTCTTCTTCATTAAAATGCTGACCTGTTTACACTAAAACATATCATCTTAAGGCCCAAACATTTATTTTCAAATAGATAGTAAACCTGCCATTTTGGGCTTTTTTACTGTTCTTTCCTTAATTATTCATGAACCATTCTTAGCTTCTGAACCTAAATTTTTGGAGTATATAGAATCGTCTATCCTACTTTCTATAAGCAAGCTGTTAGAACTTTACTTTCAGTTCTACTTTCATAACAACAAAACCTTATTTACAGAAATATAGCACTAAAGTAGGAGACAAAGGAACTCAGCTCTCTGGTGGCCAGAAACAACGCATTGCCATAGCTCGTGCCCTTGTTAGACAGCCTCATATTTTGCTTTTGGATGAAGCCACGTCAGCTCTGGATACAGAAAGTGAAAAGGTAAGAATTTAAATTGGGTTCATCCATACTTGAATCAGTCATCCTTAAAAATGCTGTATTCTCCATAGTAAAGAACAAAATGCAGCCAGATTATTGACAGTTACTTACATCACCTTTCAGTAAAATGTAAACACTTTCTGTAGCTGTTATTCAGGAGAGTAAAGATGACACAAGGCAGATTAGTCTTAGAGCACATATGCTTCACAAACCATCACTAGATCAGTTTGCGTTGACCTAAGAAGCTGCTTTCAGGAACCATATTTCCTACTTCTACTGGCAGCATCTCTTCAGCAACCATAAGGAAAAGTGGTAGTGTAAGACAGTGTTAAAATCTGGCTGTACCTTTTAAGATAAATATTAGCAATCATTTCTAGTCAGAGAAAACGTTAAAAATTCAGATTATCTGAAAGACGAACTCAGTATGAGGTATTCTCTACAATAAAAAAATTCGGGAGTCTGTATTTGGCCTTTGCTCAGGCTTCTTGAATTTACTGTGAGCTGGATTTGAGGTCTGTTTTCAAGGATGTTGTAACATCCTTGAAACTAAGGTAAACACATTAGTAAATGTTTTTAAATGAGTCAGTGAACTGTATTTACTGCCTTAACTTTAAGAGTAGATGACTGCTGGCCGGCACCTACTGCCGTGGCTCACACCTGTAACCCCAACACTTTGGAAGGCTGAGGTGGGAGGATCACTTGAGCCCAGGATTTTTGAGACCAGCCTGGGTAACACAGAGAGACATTGTCTCTACAAAAAATAAAATAATTAGCTAGGCATGGTGGTGGGAACTTGTAGTCCCAGCTACTCAGAAGGCTGAGGTGGAAGAATCGCTTGAGCCCAGGAGGTTGAGGCTGCAGTAAGCCATGATTGTACCACTACACTCCACCCTGGTGACAGAGTGAGGCCCTGTTTCAAATAAAAAAAAAAAGTTAGGGATAGATAACTGCTGCCTCGGAACTAACCCAAATTAGGGTTCAGTCATCTGATATGACAAATCCTTTGTTTTCAAAAACCTGTTCTATTTCACTGACACCTTGTTAAGAAGGATCTATTGTTGTATTGTTGTGGAGCTTTTTTTTTTTTTTTTCTTTGAGATGGAGTCTCGCTCTGTCGCCCAGGCTGGAGTGCAGTGGCGCAATCTTGGCTCCCTGCAAGCTCTGCCTCCCGGGTTCACACCATTCTCCTGCCTCAGCCTCCCGACTAGCTGGGACTACAGGCACCCACCACCAAGCCCAGCTAATTTTTTGTATTTTTGATAGAGATGGGGTTTCACCGTGTTAGCCAGGATGGTCTCAATCTGACCTTGTGATCTGCCCGCCTTGGCCTCCCAAAGTGCTGGGATTACAGGCGTGAGCCACCATGCCCGTCCTACTGTGGAGCTTTTTATGGAAGAGGAATTAGGGAAAAGAACTATTATGAGAATTAATCTATGTGATTATGGAATAGGTTGTCCAAGAAGCCCTGGACAAAGCCAGAGAAGGCCGCACCTGCATTGTGATTGCTCACCGCCTGTCCACCATCCAGAATGCAGACTTAATAGTGGTGTTTCAGAATGGCAGAGTCAAGGAGCATGGCACGCATCAGCAGCTGCTGGCACAGAAAGGCATCTATTTTTCAATGGTCAGTGTCCAGGCTGGAACAAAGCGCCAGTGAACTCTGACTGTATGAGATGTTAAATACTTTTTAATATTTGTTTAGATATGACATTTATTCAAAGTTAAAAGCAAACACTTACAGAATTATGAAGAGGTATCTGTTTAACATTTCCTCAGTCAAGTTCAGAGTCTTCAGAGACTTCGTAATTAAAGGAACAGAGTGAGAGACATCATCAAGTGGAGAGAAATCATAGTTTAAACTGCATTATAAATTTTATAACAGAATTAAAGTAGATTTTAAAAGATAAAATGTGTAATTTTGTTTATATTTTCCCATTTGGACTGTAACTGACTGCCTTGCTAAAAGATTATAGAAGTAGCAAAAAGTATTGAAATGTTTGCATAAAGTGTCTATAATAAAACTAAACTTTCATGTGACTGGAGTCATCTTGTCCAAACTGCCTGTGAATATATCTTCTCTCAATTGGAATATTGTAGATAACTTCTGCTTTAAAAAAGTTTTCTTTAAATATACCTACTCATTTTTGTGGGAATGGTTAAGCAGTTTAAATAATTCCTGTTGTATATGTCTATTCACATTGGGTCTTACAGAACCATCTGGCTTCATTCTTCTTGGACTTGATCCTGCTGATTCTTGCATTTCCACATTAAGGTGGCTCTCAAACCCAAAACACAGATCGATATAAGATTTTAGGAGGTGGGGTGAGGCACAATTATGAAGTGCATATTATTCAGATGTATAGTAAATACTTTGCATTGCTTTTATAAAGGGTTCTTTAAGGATTTTTTAAGATTTTTACACTTCCAAAGTACATTTACTTTTTGTCTTGATAATGAATCACTTTTGCCAGTAATTGGCCTCTTCCAAAAGTGATCCTTCTGACTTACAGATGTTTAAAATGTGCCATGAGTTTAACTACATCTTGATACAAACATGATAAAAAAAGAAAAAAATATATTCCAAAGGTTGGGACTCTGGACGACAAATTTTTTTAAATTAGCCAAAAAGCATTATTAACATTATAAACTATATTTACTATAAACAATTGCTATCTTAAATAAGCAACTTCTAAAAATAAAAAAAAGAAGCCATCACCTCCAGGAAAAAAAAATAGGAAAGGATATAATCAGGTAATTCTCAAAGAAGAAATGCATGAGAAAAATGTATACAGTTTCAACAATCAAATAAATGCAAATTAAAACAAAATATCATTTTTTTGCCTTGTAATTTAATGATGAATAAAAAAATCTAATGTGACATTCCTTATTAGTTGAATTGGTCATTGATATAAACTTCTTTGTTATTTGATAATGTAAGTAAAAAATGTAAATGTATATCCTTCAAGACAGCAATTGTAATTATAAGGATTTAAGAGATATGTAAAAGGATACTTTTAGTAGCATTACTTATAATATTGAAAATTGGAAAGATCTAAATATTTAACAGTAAGAAATTATACATTAAGTTTTGGTGCATTCACAAAATGGAATACCATATAATCATTAGAAAATTATGTTGAAGAATATTACAAAATATAATTTGTATAAAGAAAAAATGGTTGCCAAATGGCTTGAACAATATGGTGGCTTTTTAAATATTATATATATAATATAAATCTATATTTATGTATCTATAGTTATCTATCTATATTTATGTATCTGTAACTATAGATACAGTCTATATATAATTATATATAATTTTATATATATATAATTATATATAATTTTATATATATATAATTATATATAATTTTATATATATAATTATATATATAATATATATAATTATATAATATAAAATTATATATAATTATATATATAATATATATTATATATATAATATATATAATATATATAATTATATATACTATATATATATTTAAACTTCTGAGAGACAATCCAAAATAAACCAGAATTAGAAACAATTTTATCTCCTAAGTTTTCAGCTTTTGTTTTAAAATTTTAAGGCTTTAAAAAGTGTGCTTAGTTTAGGAAATTTCGATAAATTTATGTGAATAGAAGCATAAAACCATGTCACTTGGTTTGACTTCTTAAAGATTTTTCCCTCAACTCTTTGTATGTCTGCTGTAAGGACACTTTCTTTTTTTTTTTTTTTCTGAAGCGGAGTCTTGCTCTGTTGACCAGGCTAGACTAGAGTGCAGTGGTGATCTCAGCTCACTGCAACCTCCACCTCTGGGTTCAAGCGATTCTCCTGCCTCAGCCCCCTGAGTAGCTGGGATAAAAATTCTTAGATGTCTATAAAAAGAAAAATAAAAGTATTTTTTACTGTCGTTTGCACAGTCTAGTTGCTGTAGTTGGTGACACTCGCTGGCTCTCTCTGAACCATGTTTCCCTATTCACTGTTTTGCCCTGGCTGGAGTTGCATGGAGGTGGAGCCCCTCCCAGGGCCTCCAGCTTTTTCTGCTTGAGTATATTGCTGCCCCTTTAGCATTAAAGGCTGTCAGAGAGGGGGTGCTCTTTTTCACACCATTTATTTTCTCCAAATTTACCTCACAGGGTCAATTACCACATTCAACCAGTGATCTCAGATGCAACAAATGATTTTAGTACAAGCAAAGTCTCACACAAAGACATGTACACCATTATTTGTAACACTCCTATAATAACTCTGGTAAAAAGTAAGAGAAGCAGAAGTTCTTATGTTTAAGAAACATTTTCTTGAGTGACACAAAAGGTGATTACAGTAGTGAAGCTGTAGGACTATGTGATTAAGTACCAAACTGTGTCACACATCATGGATAATAGTTAAAAGCATGTGATATGGTTTGGCTCTTGTGCCTCCACCCAAATCTCATGTTGAATTGTAATCCCCAGCGTTGGGGAATGGACATGGTGGGAGGCGATTGGATTGTGGCAGCAGAACAGCAAGTTCTCATGATAGTGAGTGAGTTCTCGCAAGATCTGATTGTTTAAAAGTGTGTAGCACTTCCTGCTTCCCTCTCTCTCTCTCCTGCCACCATGGGAAGATGTTCTTGCTTCCCCTTCACCCTTCTGCCATGATTATAAGCTTCCTGAGGCCTCCCCACCCACGCCTGCTGTACAGCCTGTGGAATTGTGAGTCAATTAAACCTCTTTTCTTTATAAATGACCAAGTGTTGGTCTTCATAGCAGTGTGAGAATGGATGAATGCAGCAGAGTAGCGGGAGTGTGCATAGTGCAGAGGCTGCCTGGTGGGAAGGGACTGTGTTGTTTGTTGTGTTGTGTTTCATAGTCAGCTGTGTAAATTTGTCTCCTCAGCAGGGCCACACGCTCTGTGAAGGCTGGGTGACACTGTATTTATCTTGGTGTCCCCAAAAGCCTAGAAACAGTGTCTTAGGCATAGTAGACACTACTAAATGTCTGGTGAAGTAAATTATGGGATGTTGGTGGGGTACCAAATTTAGGTGGGGCCAAATTGTGGTAAGCCTAGAATGCCAGGCAGAGTAATTCAGATTTGAAGAGAGAGAAAATGAAAAACCATTGATGACTCTGAATAGGAGCATAATGTGGTGAAAATACTGATACCCACTCAGAGGGATTGGACAGGAAAAGCCCTGCAGTGAGTTGAATGGTGGCCTCCAAAAAGGCATCTCCGATCCTAATCCTCAAAAACTATGAATGTGACTTTACTTGTAGAAAAGGTCTTTACAGATATAAAGATCTTGAGGAGATCATCCTGGATTATTCTGGTGGGCCCTAAATCCAAGGTCCAGTGTCCTTATAAAAGTGAGGCACAAGAAGGTTTGACACAGAAGAAGAGGAGGTGATGTGATCATGGGAGCAGAAATCGGAGTGATGCAGCCACATGTCAAGAAATGCCAGCAGCCACCAAAAGCTGGAAGAGACAAAAAAATGGATTATCCCCTGGAGTCCATGAAGGAATTGTAGTCCTGCTGGATTTTGGATTTCTGGCTTCCAGAACTAGGAGAGGAGAATCTTCTGTTGTTTTAACCCACCATGCTTGTGGTAATTTGTCACAGTAGTCTCAGGAAACTAATACATGCCTCAAATCAATGAAGCTAAATAAGATGCTTTTATTTAAGAGAAAACATGCAAGCGACGAGGGTAATGTGGCTCTGAGTTGGGCTGGTAAAAGCAGAGAACAGGTAGCTATGAGAAACACTCACAGCCTAGTAAGAGAGGGAGGGAGAATAGAGGCCAGCTGGGAAATACTGTGACAGTGAGGGAGATGAGGAACTCTTTAGAAGGAGGAGGATTTGTTTGTATGGCTTGAAGATGATATCAAAGTAATAGATGTTTGAGGTGTGGCCCTCAAGATATAGGCAAAACACAGATGGATCCCAGCATGTGCGACTTGTTTGAGTTCAATCCTTTTCTAGCCCAGGCTTCTTTATTTTCTTAGTTCCACCCCAGATTATCCAGTTATACCCAACTTTAACAATGGTGGTTCTTCTGTTTGGTTCACCAGAATCAACTCCTGATGTTGGGACAAAATGTGCTTCAGTCTCTTTCCTGACACATAATGCAGCCATTTGTCCCCAGGTCTCAATAAGAGGTCTTTTTTAGAAATGCGTTTTTCTTATATCTCAGCTTAAGGCTCATGCTCTGATGTGTGAACCCTTTGAGAGAGGACTGTCTTTGCGTCACTGTGTTCCGGTGTTTGGCAAAGTCCTTGGCATATAGCAGAGGCTCAATAAGTGTCTGTTCTTTTGCCAATTTTTTTTGTGTGTGTGAAAAAGTGTGTACTTTTTCTGGGTCAGTTTCATTTTATCACAAATTAATATCTAAAAAGGCTTTTGTTAATATAAAATATATAAAGAAGATTCCTATCTAAAGCCATGTAATTGTACATGAAAAATAGGGAAGCCCATCATTACAGTAACACCTGAGGACTGAGCCTTACCCACTATACAGAATAAAAGAGAAAAGACTTATGCAAATTGTGTGCTCTTAATTTTAGAAAAGAAAATATATATATATGAAAGTTGTAGTAGTACAGTAACAGTATTGTACCAATTTCAGTGTTCTGGATTTGATTTTGAACTACAGTCACTACATGTCATCATGGAAGAAAGTTGGGTGACAGGTACACAGGATGCTATGTAGGAGCCCCCTTCTCACCTCACCTCCCAGAAAGAAGAAGTAAAGAACAAGCCTAGCGATGGGAGGAGGGGGAGGGGTAAGACATGGAGGAAGAGACATAACAGGGGGTGGGCAGGAAGGGAGGGAGTTTTTACTTCACTACCCTTGTTCAAAAAGCACAGCCATCAACAGCAGATGTCTGACACCCTTTAAGTCTGAACAATCAGATGATGTATATGAAAGTCATTTGTAAAAGTTTTAAGAGTTACATAATACAAGGAATGTTATACAACAGAGATATTTATTGAATCTCCCCTGCACAAAGAGAAGAGAGCACTTTTCAAGACAGCGTTTTCTTCCTGAATCTGTTCCAAAAGGAGCCTCAGTGACATTCCTCGAGGCCACTTAACACTTGCTCCAAGGTCAGAACTGGATGCAAGACCCTTCAAAGAAGCCTCCAAAACAAAGGCCTTCAAAGGCATCAACCGATTTTTACAACTTCTTTCCAAGGGTGAACTTGGCCCTGCTGATTCACATGTAATGGAAAAGCAAGTGGCTGCTGGGCATACATCTGCTGATGCCCAGTTCAAAGTCACCCTCCACTCTCCCAGGGCGCCAGGCTGTTCCATTCCTTGCCACCTCAAGATCCACTTCAGCCTGGGGAAAAACCACAGCCTCAGGTCCAAGTGTACCTGCTCACTTGCTCCAGCTTTCAAGGGACAACCAGCTTCTTTGCAGCCCCCACCTGAGGGCCCCGAGCTGGACGCATGGGTCACAGGACCAGGGGGGATCCTCCTGGTGAAGGTTCTGCTGCTCCTGTCCTGTGCCCACCATCTCCAGGGTCTCCCTCTGAGACCCCTGCTTGACAAAATAGGTTTCAGGGTATTTTAAGCCAAGGACCAGATCCTGAACTGTGATGATCCTGCACTGTCAGAATCCAGTCACTATTCTATGAAAAGCCCATGTTACATGGGGTGACTATGTAACCTGACCTAGCCCACTGCCAGCATCAAGTGCCAGCCCCCAAGATGGACCCAATAAGCATCTGACCGCAACCTCATGAGATGAGAACCCTCAGCAGAGCCCAGTCAATCTATACAACTAGAAGATATCATAAAAACCATTTGTTTTAAGCCAATTCATAACCAGAACAAGTAATAACCCTCCTAGTTCCAGAGCCTATCAAGGACTTTCAGTGACCTTAACTCTCTTGATCTTCAAAAAAATCCCTCTTAGCTGCAATATCATGGTGGGCACCTGGTTTATCATTGTATACATCAATACCTCTATCAATACTTGGCATATCAAAAGTCTTCAATAAAAATATTTGTTAAATGAAAAAAAATAAGAGATTTGTTGCTCTTGGGAAAAAACAAAGATTAAACACAAGATTTTCAGGGAGCACTTCCTGCAACTGTAGTCCTTTGTCCCAGCTGGAACTTCCGACACTGAGATGAAAGACCTCTGCCCTTGCAGTTTGGAGAAATCAGAATAGCAAAGAGAAAAGCAGGAATGCTTACAGATATGTGCAAGGGCAAAGATATATGATGAAATATTTTTACCTGGGCTCTTTCAAAAGAGTCAGTTTGGGTCAAAAGGAAAAGTGACCTTTGAGTTGAAACCCAGTTTTCGCTTTCTCAACTGGGTGGCTAAATTTAAATGATTTCCTTCTCTACACAAGACGCTGTGTAAGAGTATGATTATGCTTGGTGTATAGCCAAGCTCCTAGGCTCTCCAGTCAGAGAAACCTGGGCTTCTGTTCTGGCTGCCAGTTTGCTAAAATGTGTGGCTTCTTGGGCAAGTTACTTACTTTTTTTAAGCCCCTATTTCTGCATTGGAAAAAATGGAATTTCAATGTCTACCTCATTGAATTAGTTGAGCACTAAATACTGTAATGAAGTATTTAAGACAATACCCAATACTTAAGATATAAGCAAAAAAAAAAGCTGATTGCCTTCATTTCATATTTTTCTTGCTCTTCAAAGCTACCACTTCTCTTGCATGAAAAGGAATTTTTGTATTTATCCATGTAGCAATTATTTTAAGTGCCTACTGGCCTAGATATTGGGAGCACAATGATTAGACAAGGAGCTTACAGCTTAGGAGACAGGACATAAGTTTAGTAATGTGCATTGATGCCATGATGCAAGATGGTGGGGTGTGGTAGTGGGGACCAAGAAAAGAGCAGTTACCTCTCTGGAGAGTGGTTTAAGGGCTAAAAAATATTCCAGGGCAACGAAGATGTCCTTTGGAAGGTAAATAGATGAAAAACTGTGTTACATCAAGACAATGAAATATCACGCAATGCTAAAGAGAAATGAGCCATGAAAAGCCACAGAGGAAAATTAAATGCATATTACTAAGTGAAAGAACCCAATCTGAAAAGGTTCAAACTGTATAATTCCAACTACATCACATTCTGGAAAAGGCAAGACTATGGAGATAGTAAAAAGATCAGTGGTTGCTAGAGATTGGGGGAGTGAGGGATGAAGCACAGATAATTTTTTAGGGCAGTAAAACTACTCTATAAGATACTACAGTGGTAGACACATATCATTATGCATTTGCCCAAACCCACTGAATGTACAATACCAAGAGTGAACCCTAAAATAAACTATTTGGACTTTGGGTGATGATGTGTCAGTGTAGAGGAATCATTGCAATAAATGTGCCACTCTGGTGGGAAGGCAATCAATGTGTAGAAATAGGAGGTACATGGGAAGTCTCTCTACCTTCCACTCAATTTTGCTGTGAATCTAAAAAATGCTCGAAAAAAGAAAGTCTATTAAATAAAAAGCTTCCTGGATAATGGAATAGATGCATGTCAGATGGACAATAGAGGAGGAGTGTGGATGTGGAGAGCAGTATAGAACAGTTTAGAAGGCTGGAACCAGAAGTGATTCAGTGCGGTCAGAGTTTTAGATGTTGGGTGTGAGGAAGGGTGGGTAGAGGCCCCAAGGAATGGGGCAGGGCCAGGCAGGACCTGAGCCTGAAGGATATTGTGTGCCAGAATAGCTTTTATTATTTTTATTTTTGTTGTGATTCTTTTGAAATAATATGAGTGTTGAGATATGCCTCACTTTAGAGTGGCCTTATTCTTTCAAATGTACCTGTGCGGTGAAATTTTGTAAAATAAATCACATTTTACTTTTTCCATTATAAAGATGAAAATATAACACTTTACAAATTCCATAAGTAAAGGGAAAAAAGGACCAACTTCAGACACCTGCCTTGTGACTCCTGAATGTGTGGGTAGACTGCAAGAGAGCTTTTGTATCTGTAGAATTTCAACCACAAGCATGGGGGTTGGTGCACACAGCATTCTAATATCATAGGCAGGGAATCACATTATTCTATTTGGGGATGGGGGGAAAGGCAAGGTGAGGGAAGGAATATATATGTATGTTTGTGTGTGTAAATATATATATATTATATATATATTATTTTAAATCAAGAATAGAAAGACAAAACTAAACAATATTATCTAAGTCATAAATATAATATTTTAGTTATATATTCAAGCCAGTTTGCAGTTGAGGCTTTCTATTTTCATCAAGATTTTAGTACAAATTATTTTTTAATTTCCGAAAGAGTTCATTGTCCCTTGTCAACTCTCTCTTGTGCAAAACGTCTCGATCAGCATGGGCAATGACACCGTTATCCCAATTCTTCAGTTTAAACAGATGACTCATGCAGGACTTATCAATGATTTTCCATGTTATTTTGGGATAGTGCCAGGTCTAGCCAAAATATGGCTGAGATTTCCCGAATTATTTGAAAAACCCCATGACCACAATATTCTACCTCTTTTAATTAAAGAATGGTATAAAGTTCTTTGGATTCAGAGAGTCCAGGTCAAGAACATATGCATATAGACAAAGCCTGGAGAGAAATATGCCAAAAAGGAAATAGGTTAAAGTTTATTTAAAACAATACTAAGGATTTCCTTTACGAGAACAAATATTTTTAGGACTGTTTAAAAGTGTCAGAGACTAAACACAAAATGCTGGTGTTTCACAAAAAAATTAGCATTTATGAATTTGTGTTTATCATATACTTTACTTCAGAAAGCAACTTTTTTGAGTAGCTAAAATTTTGATTATGGATTATTTTTTGTTATAGTAATGAAATTAAATTCATTCATTGATAGCTGAAATTAGATTTAAATACTTCTTTTAAAATTCTTGATATTTGCATTTATGCTAGAAAGGCTACCTTAGCCAACAATTTTATTGCATTGCCCATCAAGGCTAAAGTCATAAGTTAGCTATGAAAATTCTCTGCACTGAACTCCCTTATGCTTTCTGTATTTCTTTATGTTTCACTCTATATTTTAATTATTTCCTATTTTCACTCTGTTTATAGCTATTTTACATACCTAAGGGCTAGTCTCTATCTTACTATCTTTGTGTCTTCACTGTCTCAACACAATGTCTTGACACAATGGGTGCTGTCTTTCAAAGTGTTGCATAAAGCACTAGTCACTATAGCAAAGAAATGGAATCAATGGAGATGCCCATCAATGTTGGATTGGATAACAAAAATTTGGTAAATATATACTATGGAATACTATGCAGCCATAAAAAATGAAGTCATGTCCTTTGCAGCAACATGGATGCAGGTGGAAGCCCTTATCCTAAGCAAACTAACGCAGGAACAGAAAACCAAATACTGCATATTCTCACTTATAATTTGTAGCTAAGCATTGAATATACATGAACACAAAGATGGGAACAATAGACACTGGGGCCTACTTGAGAGGGAAAGGTGGGGGCATGTGTGCTTTGGAAGACTACCTATTGTGTACTATGCTCACTAGCTAGATGACAGGATCATTTGTACACCAAGCCTCAGCAACACACAATTTACCCATGTAGGAAATCTGCACATGTACCCCTGGATCCTAAAGTAAAAGTAGAGGAAGAAGGAAGGACAAAACAAATAAAAGTGTTGCATGAATCATGAACAGACATAGCTAGTCAGGAAATGGTAGAGTTAAAATACCTGCTGGCAGTTTCCAGATTCTTCAGCTTCAGACATGTGCCAGATATCTTCCTTTTGCCATTCCATATCTATTCTCCACCCTCCCCTCCACACTGCTGTTTACTTTAGGAAGTTGACTTCTGTGGGTTCAGCTGAAGGGGGTGCCTGGAGACAGTTGGGGTGGATCACTGCTCTTCTTGAAGCAGTTCTATCTACATGATGCTCAATATGGCTTCTGGGAACTGCTCCTTTCCCTCATCCATGCTGGCCTAGGGAAGGCCATACACCTCCCCAGTGTTTGTGGCCCCAAGATATTTTGCTATCTATTATGGTATATCCACTATGCCCTATGTTCTACTCCTACCTTTCTAAATAGTTCCTTCATTACATCCTCCTTGAATATCCTAATTTGAATATGCCATTTGTTTCATGCTGAGACCTTGACTGATACATGACAATTCAAATTATGGCAAAAGAATCCACCATTCTTGACCAGTATAATCATTGCTTTCTCAAAATCCTCTCAATAAACTCTGAAAGTCTAAATTCCTCCTAGTTCTTAGCCTCTACTGTATCAAATCTCTTTTATATTCCACCATATCCTTATCTACTTTTTGACTCAGTCAAATTAACATCACACCTTCTTTATTCCATGTCTCCATTCTTCACCTGCATCTGTCTTTGGCATTGTTTCCCTGCTCTTGGAATTGTTAGGATTATTTTTCTTAGGAGTAGCTTTATGAATAAGTTTAAAGAAATTATTAATATTGTGCTTTCAGCGAGTATTTTGCAGTGTCAGGAAAGGGGGAAACACTGGAAACAAAGTTAAAAGACTTTTTTTTAACTATAGAGCTTCTCAGGATCTGTGATGTGCATTGTGATCTTCTGAGTGTGGTAAGCAGCATTTCTCAAACTTACTTCATCATGGAACACTCGTTATCACTAAGCACCTGTTGGCATTCCTCACGTCACAGTTTGGAAAACCTTGCCTGTGGGTATGCTTTTCACTCCATCCTGCTCTTCCTCCATAAGTATTTATTGTACAAATGAATAAATATTGACAAAATTGGCCAGAACTCTAAAAGAGGGAAGTGGAAGACAGGGTACCGCAACCCTTCCTTCCAATCATTGGTGTCTGCATAAATCAGGATCTCCAAAGATGTATGGGGTCAGGTGAAAGGTGGCCAGCACCTCCTGCAAGATCCAGCTTGAGGGACTGATGGAGACCTACCTGGTTATTCATTCAGAGGTCTTCTTCAAGCCTTCAAGCCTAGATTAGTTGTGGATGTTTCTCCCCTGGTCTTTCTGCCTTAATTCCTGAACTAGCTGGTGGTGGAAAAGGGAGTGGGCAAGAAGAGAAAGAAGAGCATTTATCAGGGGCTTGCAATGTTCCAGATAACCGATTTGGTTCATCCTCTTCCCTGAAGGAGCTCATTGTCAAATAGAAGAGTAAAGATGCAAAATAGGTATAACGAATGTAGTATAATATAATGTAACATCATATAATTAATGCAATTAGTGTAGTTAGTATATAAATTATGGCTACACAAATGAAGAGCACATCCTCTCATTTTTTAACATTGCCTATTGTCCTGCTATGGCGAGGTCTATAATTATTGGCATCTGATTTCATGTTTTACTGTGGAGTAAGCATGAGGCCGGACTGAGACAATGTCCACCCACCTTCATGTCTTATCTAGAAAAATACACAGATTTGTGTAAGTAGATGAAATAGACAGGATGTTACTGAGAGGGTAAGAGAGTGAGAAGGAGGAAAATGAGCAGATGACTTAGATAAATCTTGTTATCTAATACTTTGCAGCCCTTCTTCTATTGATGAACAAACGCAAAGATTGGCTAATTTGATTTTAGAATATTCATCCTTTGCCTCTGTACCCTATTAGAGAAATGTGGATTTAAAAAATTAGGCAGCAACTTCTGGGAAAATGGAGTAGACATACTTTTTCCTATTTGTCCTACTAAGTACAATTAAAAACACTGAACATTATAAATAAAACAAACATAAGACAATGGAAATGTGGAGAGAATAAGACAGACTAGCTAAGGATCCTGGGATCTGAGGAATGACACATGGTGGTGAGTTTCTGGTTTGTTTGTTTGCCTCCTATATCTCAGACTTGGAGCAAAAGAAGGCAAAAATCCAAAAATGCCAATGTACACAGACAAAAATGTCCTGCCCTTCCTAGTAAAAGGACTCAGAAAGGGACAGCCTAGCAAGAGAGAACACGTTGAAACAGCAGTCACTCTACTCTAGCCAAACATTGTAGAAAAAACTGTGACACCACCCAGACTCACTCCAGCAAAAGCAAAGTAGGGAGACTTGACTTCCTCCCTTGCCAGGCATGTCAACCTCACTCTCTGTCTACCCCCACCCCAGGGTAGTGTCAGACAAGGCCAAGTAGAGAACAGATGTTTCATTCCCACCTTGTAGTAATGAGGCACCCCACCCACTTCCCTCTGGGGTAATGGAAGAGGAAGCCTAGTGGAGACTTAGGACTTACCACACTACCTAATGGTAACAGGATCATCTCCCCAACACCATAGAGGCCACGTGGGGGGACTAACAGTGCACTTCTACTCCTTCCAGCCAGAAAGACATCAGTAGAGGGCCAGTGGGGAATCAGAACTGTCACTTCTGCCCAGCAATAACAAGGACCACCTCCCTCAACCCCAAGTGTCATTGGAGATCATGCGAGAAACCTGAACTTCTACCCCGATCTGTGGAAATGAGGCAGTACACTTCTTTCACTGCTGAAGCAGTGTAAAAAAATCCATTTTGATTTATCTGTGGTGTTCTTTTTTTATTTTTTAATTTTGTGTGTACACAGTGGGGGTATAAATTTATTATTTTTTGATACAGACATGCAATATGTAATAATCCCATCAGGGTGAATGGGGAATCCATTCCCTCAAGCATTTATCTTTTGTGTTACAATAAAATTATACTCTTTTGTTATTTTAAAATGTACAATTAAATTATTTTGACTATAATCACCCTATTGTGCTATCAAATACTAGGTTTTATTTATTCTTTCTAACTCTCTTTATATATCCATTAACTTCCCCAGTTTCCCGTAACACTGTCTTCCACTACCCTTCATAGCCTCTGGTAGTCATCCTTCTGCTTCCTACCTCCATGAGTTCAATTGTTACATTTTTTAGCTTCCTCAAATATGTGAGAACATGCGAAGTTTGTCTTTCTGTGCCTGGCTTATTTCATTCAATATAACAACCTCTAGTTCCATCCATGTTGTTTACAAATGACAGAATCTCATTTTTTATGATTGAATAGTACTCCATTTTGTATATGTACCACAATTTCTTTATCCATTCATCTGCTGATGGACACTTAGGTTGCTGCCAAATCTTCGCTATTGTGAATTGTGCTGCAGTAAACTTGAAAGTGCAAATATCTCTTTGATATACTGATTTCCTTTCTTTTGGGTATATTCCTAGGAGTGGGATTGCTGGATCATATATTAGTTCTAATTTTAGTTTTCAGAGACACCTCCATACTGTTTTCCATAGTGGGTGTACTAATTCCCACCAACAGCATACAAGAGTTCCCTTTTCTCCACATCCTCACCAGCATTCATTATTACCTGTCATCTGGATAAAAGTCATTTTAACTGGGGTAAGATGATATCACATTGTAGTTTTTATTTGCTTTTCTCTGATGATCAATGATGCTCATATGTCTCTTTGCCATTTGTGTGCCTTCTTTTGAGAAATGTCTATTCAGATCTTTTGCCCATTTTTAAATCGGATTATGAGTTTTTTTTTCTATAGGTTTGTTTGAACTTCTTATATATTCTGGTTATTAATCCCTTGTCAGATGGATAGTTTGCAGATATTTTCTACCATTCTGTGGGTGTCTCATCACTTTTTAGATTGTTTCCTATGCTCTGGAGAAGCTTTTTAATGTGATGTGATCCCATTTATACATTTTTGCTTTGGTTGACTGTGCTTATGGAATATTACTAAAAAAAATCTTTGCCCAGTCCAGTGTCCTGGACAGTTTCCCCAATGCTTTCTTTTGGCAGTTTCTTAGTTTCATTTCTTAGATTTAAGTCTTTAGTCCACTTTGATTTGATTTTTGCATAAGGTGAGAGATAGAGGCCTTTATTCATTCTTCTGCATATGGATATCCAGTTTTCCCAGACCATTTATTGAAAAGACTGTCCTTTCTCCAGTGTATATTCTTGGCATCTTTGCTGAAAATGAGTTTCCTGTAGATGTATGGATTTATTTTGGGGTTCTTTATTCTGTTCCAGTGCTGTATGGGGCCAGCTTTTATGACAGTACCATGTTGCTTTGGTTACTTTAGCTCTGTAGCATAATTTGAAGTCAGGTAATGTGATTCCTCCAGTTTTGTTCTTTTTGCTCAGGATAGCTTTGGCTATTCTAGGTCTTGTGTTTCCATATGAATTTTAGGATTTTTTTTTTCTGCAAAGAATTTCACTGGTGTTTTGATAGAGACTGCATTAAATCTGTAGATCACTTTAGATAGTATGGACATTTTAATAACATTGATTCTTCCAATCCATAAACATGGGGTATCTTTTCATTTTTTGGTGTCCTTTTCAATTTCTTGCATTGATGATTTATAACACTTATTTTAGAGATCTTACCCTTCTTAAGTTACTTTTCAGGTGTTTGATTTTATTTGTAGCTATCGTAAATGGGATTGCTTTCTTGATTTCTTTTTCAGATTGTTTGCAGTTGGCATATAGAAGTGTTACTGATTTTTGTATGTTGATTTTGTATGCTGCAACTTTACTGAATTTATTTATCAGTTTGAATAGTTTTTTGATGGACTCTTTAGGTGTTCCCAAATATAAAATCATACCATCTGCAAACAAGGATAATTTTACTTCTTCCTTTCCAATTTGGATGTCCTTTCTTTTCCTTGTCTGATTGCTCTAGCTAGGACTTACAGTCCTATGTCGAATAACAGTGGTGAAAGTGGGCATCCTTGTCTTGTTCCACATCTTAGAGGAAAGATTTTCAGTTTTTCACTATTCACTATGATACTAGCCATGCATCTGTCACATATGGCTTTTTTGTGTGTGTTGAGGTATGTTTCTTCTATACTCAGTGTTTTGATGGTTTTTGTCATGAAGGGATGTTGGAATTTGTCAAATGCTTTTTCTGTATCAATCAAAATGATCATATAGCTTTTCTTCATTCTGTTGATATGATGTATCACATTGATTGATTTGTGTATGTTGAACCATCTTTCTTCCCTGGGAAAAATACCACTTGATCATGATGAATGATCTTTTTAATGTGTTGTTAAAATAAGTTTGCTAGTATTTTGTTGAGGATTTTTTTCATCAATACTCATCAGTGATATTGGCTTGTAGTTTTTTCTTTTTTATGTGTCTTTTGTTTTGGTAGCAGGATAATACTGGCCTTGTAGAATGAGTATGGAAGTATTCCCTCCTCCTTATTTTTCAGGATAGTTTAAATAGAATTGGTATTAGTTATTCTTTAAATGCTTGGCAGAATTGAGCAGTGAAGCCATTGGGTCCCAAGATTTTCTTTGCTGAGAGACTTTTTATTATGGCTTTGATCTTGTTACTTATTATTGGTCTGTTCAGGTTTTGGATTTCTTTACGGTTCAGTCTTGGTAGGTTCTGTCTAGGAACTTATCTATTTTTTTTTTTTTTTTTAGATTTTCCAATTTATTGTCATGTAGTTGCTCCTAGTAGCCAGCAATGATCCTTTGAATTTCTATGGTATAGTTGTAATATTGCCCTTTTCATCTCTGATTTTGTTTGCTTGGATCTTCTTTTTTCTTAGTCTGGCTAAATGTTTGTCAATTTTGTTTATTTTTTCAAAAAACTAATTTTTGTCTTTCATTGATCTTTTTTCATTGTTTTCTTCATCTCTGTTTCATTTATTTTTGCTCTCATCTTTATTATCTCTTTTCTTCTACTAATTTTTGGTTTGGTGTGCTCTTGTTTCTCTAGTTCTTTAAGATGCACCATTAGGTTACTTATTTGAAGTTTTTCCTTTTTTTGATATGGGTACTTACAGCTTCAAACTTCCCTCTTAGTACTACTTTTGCTGTATTCCATAGGTTTTGGTGTGTTGTGTTTCCATTTTCATTTGTTTAATAAATTTTTCAATTTTCTTCTTAATTTCTTCATTGATCCATTAGTCTTTCAAGAGCATATTGTTTAATTTCTATGTGTTTGCACAGTTTCCAAAATTCCTGTTGTTATTGATTTCTAGTTTTATTCCATCATGGTCAGAGAAGATGCTTAATATTATTTCAATGTTTTTGAATGTTTTAAGACTTATTTTGTGATCTAACATATGGTCTATCCTTGAATGATCCATGTGCTGAGAAGAAGAATGTGTATTCTGCACTTGTTGGATGAAATGTTCTGTAACTATCTATCAGGTCCATTTGGTCTATAGTGCAGATTAAGTCCAATGTTTCTTTGTTAATTTTCTGTCTGGAAGTTCTGTTCAATGCTGAAAGTGGGAAGTTGAAGTCTTCAAGTATTATTGTATTAGGATCTATCTCTCTCTTCAGTTCTAAAGATATGTGCTTTATATATCTGGATGCTCCAGTGTTGGGTGCATATATATTTAAAATTGTTATATCCTCTTGCTGAATCAACCCCTTTATCATTATATAGTAACCTTGTTTCTTCTTACAGTTTTCGTCTTGAAATCTATTTTGTCTGATACATGTATAGCTACTCCTCCTCTTTTTTTTTTTTTGTTTCCATTGGCATGGAATATCTTTTTCTATCCCTTAATTTTCAGTCTATGTGTATCTTTATGGATTAAGTGTGTTTCTTGTGGGCAACAGATCATTCGGTCTTGTTTTGTGTTGTTTTGTTTTGTTTTAATCCATTCAGTGACTCTATGACTTTTGATTGGAGAGTCTAGGCCATTTATATTCAATGTTATTATTGATAAGTAAAGACTTACTCCTGCCATTTTATTATTTGTTTTCTGGTTGTTTTGTGATCTTCTCTATTTTCTTTCCTGTCTTCCTTTTAGTGAAGGTAGTTTCTCTGAAGGTATGTTTTAATTTCTTGCTTTATATCTTTTGTGTAACTGTTGTAGGTTTGTTGATTTGAGGTTACTCTGGGGCTTGTAAATACTATCTTATAACTGATTATTTTAAGCTGATAACAACTTAACACTGTTTGCACAAACAAACAAGCAAAAAGAAAACTGAAAAAACCTTTACACCTTAAACTCATTCTCTGCTTTTAAATTTTTTATTGTTTCTATTTATACGTTATTGTGCTGCCTATGTCTTGAAAAAAGATTGGTTCACCTTTTAGTCTTTCTACTTAAGATAAGAGTAGTTTACACACCACAGTTACATTGTTAAAATAGTCTGTGTTCTATGTGCTTATTATTACCATGAGTTTTGTAGCTTCAGATGATCTTACTGCTCATTAACATCCCTTTCTTTCTGATTGTAGTACTCCCGTCAGCATTTCTTGTGGGACAGATCCAGTGTTGATGAAATCCCTCTTACGATTCCTTTGAATAAACTTTCTACCCCATCACTCTCTCTACCTACTTTTTAAGGCCAATAACTATTAGATTTGCCCTTTTGATGCTATTTTCTAGATCTTATAGTTGTGTTTCATTTTTTAAATTCTTTTTGTGTGTGTAGTTTTGTGTATTCACTGTGTATTTTCAAATAACTCACTAATTCTTTCTTCTGCTTGATCAATTCTGCCATTAAAAGACCTCGATGCATTTTCAGTAAGTCAATTGCATTTTTCAACTCCAGAATTTCTGCTTGACTGTTTTAAATTATTTCAATCTCTTTGTTAACTTTATCCGATAGAAATCTGAATTCCTTCTCTGTGTTATCTTGACTTTCTTTGAGTTTTCTCAAAATAGCTATTTTATTTATTTATTTTTTACTTTAAGTTCTGGGAGATAAGTACAGAATGTGTAGGTTTGTTACACAGGTGTACGTATGCCATGGTGGTTTGCTGCACCTATCAATCCATCATTCTAGGTTTTAAGCCTTGCATGCATTAGCTATTTGTCCTAATACACTCCCTCTTCTTGCCCCTCCACCCCCAATTGGCTCTAGTGTGTGTTGTTCCCCTTCCTGTGTCCATGTGTTCTCATTGTTCAACTCCAACTTATGAGTGAGAATATGCAGTGTTTAGTTTTCTGTTCCTATGTTAGTTTGCTGAGAATGATGGCTTCCAGCTTCATCCATGTCCCTGCAAAGGACATGATCTCATCCCTTTTTATGGTTGCATAGTATTCCATGGTGCATATGTTCCACATTTTCTTTATCCAGTCTATTATTGATGGGCATTTGGGTTGGTTCCATGTCTTTGCTATTGTAAATAGTGCTGCAATAAACATACGTGTGCACGTGTCTTTATAGTAGAATGATTTATATTCCTTTGGGTGTATACCTAGTAATGGGATTGCTGGGTCAAATGGTATTTCTGGTTCTAGATCTTTGAGGAATCACCACACTGTCTTCCACAATGATTGAACTAACTTACATTCTCACCAACGGTGTAAAAGTGTTCCTATTTCTCCACAGCCTCACTAGCATCTACTGTCTCTTGACTTTTTAATGATCACTATTCAGACTGGCATGAGATGGTGTCTCATTGTGGTTTTGATTTGCATTTCTCTAATGATCAGTGATGTTGAGCTTCTTTTTATATGTTTGTTGGCTGCATAAATGTCTTCTTTGGAGAAGTGTCTCTTCATATCCTTTGCCAACTTTTTTATGGGGTTATTTGTTTTTTTCTTGTAAATTTGTTTAAGTTCCTTGTAGATTCTGGATATTTGACCTTTGTCAGATTCTATAGGTTGCCTGTTAACTCTGATGATAGTTTCTTTTGCTGTGCAGAGCTCTTTAGTTTAATTAGATCCCATTGGTCAGTTTTGGCTTTTGTTGCAATTCCTTTTGGCATTTTCATCATGAAGTCTTTGCCCATTCCTATGTCCTGAATGGTATTGCCTAGGTTTTCTTCTAGTGTTTTATGGTTTTGGGTTTTAAGTCTTTAATCCATCTTGAGTTAACTTTTGTATAAGTTGTAAGGAAGGAGTCCACTTTCAGTTTTCTGCATATGGCTAGCCAGTTTTCCCAGCACCATTTATTGAATAGGAGATCCTTTCCCCCATTGCTTGTTGTTGTCAGGTTTGTCAAAGATCAGATGGTTGTAGATGTGCGATATTATTTCTGAGGTCTCTGTTCTGTTTCATTGGTCTATATGTCAAAACAGCTATTTTGAATTCTCTGCCTGACAGGTCACATATCTCTTTCTTCAGTATTGTTCCCAGGTGACTTATTTAGTTCATTTGGTGAGGTCATGTTTTCCTGGATGGTATTGATACTTGTAGGTATCGGTCAGTATATGGGCATTGAAGTGTTAGGTATTTATTTTGGTCTTTGCAGCCCGAGCTTGTTTGTACCCATCTTTCTTGAGAAGGCTTTTCTAGGTGTTTGAAAGTACTTGGGTATTTTGATCTAAGCTGTATCTGCATTAGGGAGCACCCTAAGCCCAGTAACATTGTGGTTTCTTACAGACTTATAGAGGTACTGCCTTGATGGTCTTGGATAAGATCCAGAAAATTTCTTACCAGGCAGAGACTCTTGTTGTCTTCTTTTACTTTCTCCCAAACAAACAAATTCTCTCTCTCTCTCTCTCCCTCTCTCTTTTTCTGTGCTGGACATCCTGGAGCTTGGGGTGGGATGACACAAGTTCCTCTGTGGCTACACCACTGGGGCTGCACTAGGACAGACCTGAAATCAGCACAGTACTGCATCTTGCTCAAGGCCTGATGTAACCACTACCTGGCTACCAATGTGTGCTCAAGACCTTGGGGCTCTATAATCAGCTGGTAGTAAATCTAGCCACGTTTGTATCCTTCCCTTCAGGGTGGTGAGTTCCCCCAGGCCCTGGGTAGGTTGAGAGGTGTAGTCTGAGAGCCAGAGACTGGAGTCAGAATCCTTAGAAATCTACTTGGTGTGCAGTTTAGTTGGCACTCAAACCACTAGACACATTCTTCCCTCCCCTTTCCACAGGCAGGAGAGCCTCGCCCCCTGGCCTTCACCACCACAGGCCCAGGGGAGTACTTCCAGGCTACTGCCACGGTTCACTTAAGGCACAAAGGTTTTTCAATCAGCTTGTGGTGAATGCTGCCCGGTCTGGAACTCATTCTTTAGGGCAGTGGGCACCCTCTGCTCATGGCGGGTCCAGAAATGCCATAAAAGAGCCAAGGCCTGGATTCCAAGAGCCTGCTTGGTGCTTTGACCCTGTGGCCGAATTGGTACCTAAGGTGCAATACAAAGTCTCCTTTACTTTTCCACCTGCTTTTCTCAAGCAAAGAGTCTCTCACCACCGCCACCATAGCGGGTAATGTGCTGGATCTTACCTAAAGCCAGCACATCTCAGAGTCCTACCCAAGGTCCATGTCCATGGCGTACTATCTGGGCATCACTGATGGTTATTCGGGGCCCAAAGGTCAGCAAGTAATGAGTCCTGCTAGGACTGGTTCCTTCCCTTCAAAGCAGTAGATTCCCTTCTTGTCCAGCGTATGTCTAGAAATGTCCAGGAGCTAGGGCCTGGGATGTGAGTCTCATGACTCTGACCAGTCCCCTATCCTACTGTGGCTAAGCTGGTAACCAAGATGCAAAATAAAGTCCTCTTTACTCTTCCCTTTCCTCTCCTCAAGCAGAAGGAAGGAATCTCTTTTGGAGCCATGAGCTATGCTGCCTGGGGTTGGGGGAAGGGTGGTGCAAGCCATTTCCTTAGCTGCCCCAGCTGGTGTCTCCGTAGGTCATGTGCCTCCCCAAGTCCACTGGCTCTGAGCTCAGCTTAGCACTAGAAATCACCTAGGAGTTGCAGTCCTTGTGGCCTACACTGACTTTCAAGTTTATTTAGAGCCCCAAGGCATTTTAGCCCACAGTGATGAAGCTTGATGGAACTCAAGTTCCGACAACTGGGATGGGTGATTCCCCTCTGGCTAGGCCTGATCTAAATGCTCCCTCTGTGGGCAGGTGTCAACTGAGTTCAGCCCAGCTTTGCTTTATACTGTGACAGGGAAGCACTGAGTTCAATGCACAGTCTCACAATCTCTGTGCTCTCCCTCTCCCAAACACATAGCTTTTCTCTCCGCACAATGTGGCCACTGCTGGGAGGATGAAGGGTGGCATCAGCAATTCAAGACTGTCTTTCCTACCCTCTTCAATGCCTCTTTCAGCGATATGAAGTTAAAACTAGGAACTATGAGTGCTCATCTGATTTTTGGCTTTTATAAAGTTGCTTTTTGTGTATAGATAGTTGTTTAAATTTAGTGTTCTTGTAGAGAGGGACAATCAGTAGATCCTTCTATTCAGCCATCTTGCCCTGCCCTTCTTCTCTACCTGTGGTAGTCTTGACTATATCTATTTGTGTAGATTTTTTAGTGGTCCTCTGAGTATTGCATTATATATAAATAACTTATCATACTTTACTATTTTCATCATTTTACTTGTTTGAGTGAAGTGTAGAAATCTTATCTCCCTTATATCCCTTTACTCTCTCTCATTCACTTGTAATTGTCTTATGTATTTCCCTTACTTATATTTAGAACCACATCAGACAGTGATATAATTTTTGCTTCACCCATAAAAAATAATTTAGAAAACTCAATAGGAAGAGGAAAGTTTCTTGTATTTACCAATATTTTTCTTGACCATGTTCTTTATTCTAGATATTCTAAGTTTCTCCTGTTTATAATTTTCTATTTAGAGAACTTCCTTTAGTCATTCTTTTATTTTGAAAAGCGTTAGCTTTAGAATAACTTTAAGAGTTAGTAAATGTCAATAACCTTAAGCCTAGTGACCCTACTCTTGCTTATCCATTTCATCGTTGGCCTTGGCACCTTGCAGCCCTCCCTGTCCACCCAGTGGTTTTCATTACTCTCACAGAACACAAGAATTTCATTAGGCAATGTGACCTTGGAACTCTCAATGTGCCCATTAATCCACGTTGGCAGAAATGATATAACATAGTGATTAATAGCAAATTCTTCTAACTACTTCTTGTCATGGTACCTTTGCAAGTCCACCCTAGTTTATGAAGGTATAAGGAAGAGTTTAGTGGAAAACAGAGAGAGAGAGAGCTGAATCAGTATTACCCTTGTCTTCAACATCTTTATGAGTGCCTTTGGGTGTGCTGGGCCGAATTAGATGAATTTTATAATGAACAAAAGAAGAACGAAACCAAAAGGAAATAATATTTTTAAGAGAAAGGTCAAAGGCAAAGCAAAAAATTTCTGAGTCAAGCAATGAGAAGGGTTTTTTAAAAAAGAAAAAAAAACTTTGGGAGAAGTATAAGATGTAACATGGGTTGAAGGAAGTAAAGGCAGGAAAAATTAAGATCTATAAACTCTGAGAAGGTAGTTTGAGCAGAAGTAAAAAACATTAGTGACCAAAAGTTTGGAAATGATTCAAGAGTAGTTAAGTGCAGCCAAGTGCAAACAGAATAGTCAAATTTTCACTATCTTCAGACATGAAAATTTGGAGAATTGTTAGATAGCCACAAATGCAATATAGTGGGGGAAAAGACCACAGAGCATATTTGTCAAGATATAAGTCAACAGGACAGAGAATAGAGTCCATCATAGCACCCTCTTTAGGAAAAATTGTTGCTAATTAATTTATATTTGAATATAATTTGAAAATACTTTGGTAGATGGAATTTGTTATTCTCTGTTGACTCTTACTTATAGGAAATTCTTTTTGTACAAACCCTTTTATGCTATAGTTCAAAAATATTGATCTATTCAATACACATTTACTGAGCCCACTGGTGCTGTGGGCACTAGAAATACAACAGGTAAGGCTTCTGTCTAACAGTGGTCTTCAATAGGAATACAGAATGAGAAGCTGAAGTCACGTGGCCAGAGCTGGAAGCCTAATTCCATTGTTTACTAGCTGTGTAAAATTCACTTTGATATCCCCACCTCTAAACTGAGAATAATAGTTCCTCACTTGTTTACCTTGAACATGCTCCTTGTTTTGAGAATCAAATGAGATGATATATATGTGTGATAGGCTCTGTAAATTCATAAAATACTATATAATCTGAGTAACTTTTGCATTAGCCTTGTTTAAATCCTTCTTTATATGCCTAAAACTTTTTATCCTAAAACCTTAGCCCAGGTCCTTGCACATAGTAAGTGTGGGCAGCAATTATTGGATATTCCAGCGAATGAAATGAAAACATATTAATATTTTTACTCTCACGGCTCTTATGTGCTACTAAGATGACAAGAGACAATAAGCATAATAAATTCTTTAATGATATAGTATACTAGAAGGTGATAAATGCTGTGGAAAAGAAAATCAAAGTAGGATAAGAGGAACTGAGAGTCCTGAGGGTACAAGATCCAACTTCTAATTGAGAAGAGATTTTTAGGAGGTGAGAGTGTCCTCCATGTCAGTATTTTGGGGAGGATAATTTTGGACAGGGGGAACAACTAGTACAAACACCCTGAGGTGGAGTGCTGCCTCTCTTGTCTGAGTAATATCCAAGAGGCCAGTGTGGCTGGAGTGGAGTTAGGCAAAGACAAAATAAATAAAAATGAGATCAGAGAGGTCACGGAGAGGGCACAGCATTGTAGGCCATGACTGAGTGAATTGGGGGCTACCACAGAAATGTGAAGAGAAGAGTGATGTGATGTGACTCACATTTCAAAAGAATCATCCAGGCCATGCTTTTGACAATGGACAAAGGCGGAAGAGGAGGAAAGGACAGAGGCAGAGAGACAATTAACAAGCTATTATAGAAAATCAGGTGGAGATGATAGTGGCTTGCATGATGGTGGTAGAGCTGGAGGTGCAGGGCAAAGGTCAGATTCTGAATATATTTTGAAAGTAAAGGCAACAAGATTTCCTGACAGATTGATTATGGTGTGTCAAAGAAAGAGAGGAATGCAGGATGATTCCAGTGTTTTTGTTGACAACTATAAGTCTGGAGCTGCCAACTGGATGCAGAAGTTCACTGGAGGGCCCAGCCTGGGGAAAGGATCAGGAGCAGGTTAGGCATGTTAAGCTTGAGATGTCTGTTAAACATCCAGATAGGAATGTCAAAGATGCACTTGTGTTTAAGAGTCAGGAATGCAAGAGGGAATTTTAGGCTAGAAACAAAAAGTTAGAAATTATTCGATACAGATGGTATTTAAAGCTGTGTGACTGACTGACATGACAGAAGTGGCGAGAATAGACTGAGAAGTCCAAGGAATGAGCCTTGGACCACTCCAGTGTTAGGTAAGTAGTTGAAAAAAAGAGAGAGAGAGAAGGCATCAAAGGAGACTGAGGAAGAGTGATCAGGAAAGCATAGGAAAATCCGAGAAACATATGGTGTCCTGGAATCTATATGAAAAAGATATATTCAGAAAGACAGAGTGATAAATCTGTCAAATTATTGAATTTGTCAGGTAAAATAAGAACAGAGAATTGATCTTTGGACTTAGCAAAGCAGAGATTATCAGTGACTTTTATAAAAATAGTTTCGGTAGTGTGGAAAGATCAAACTTCTGTTTAGAGTGGGTTTCAGAGAGAACAACAGGAATTGAAGAAAGTAATAAACTTTGCCAACCAGTTTAGCTCCAAAGGAAAAGAGGGAAATATGATGGTAGCTGGCAGGGGAAGTGTGGTCAAGAGAGGTTTTTTGTTTGTTTTTCAAGATGGAAGAAATAACAGTATGTATGTAAGCTCACAGGAGGGATCCAGCAGGCATGGGGAAATTGATGATATAGGACAGAAAGGGAAGAATGGCTCCTTGTGAAAGTGAAAGGGGATGGGATCTACAGGATGAACATGCAAACAAAGACTGGCTGCAAAGAGAGGCATGAATAGTTCATTTACAGAAACAGCAAAGGCAGAGTGTTGGTACAGATGCTGGTAAGTGGAAAAATATCATGGTAGGAGGTTATGGAGTTCCATTCTAAACACTTCAACTTCATCAGTGAAATAAGCACGGTAATTTAGCAGAATGTGAAGATGTAAAAGAACAGAATTTGAGAAAACAGACGATATGAAATAATTATTAGAAAAGCAGGTGAGTGAATGAACTAAGAAAACATCTTATGACTATTGGTCAGTAAACGTTGGGATACATAGTGAATTTTACAAAATCTTTGCCCTCATAAGTCTTGCATCCCACAGAGTGGGCAATAAATAATAAACATAATAAGTACATTATGTATACAGTATAGGGCCATGTAAGTTCATGGCGAGGCAAGCCCGATGACTTTGTATTTTTCTTCAGACATGTTCTGCTGCATGGTGTAGGTTCACAGTAGCTCAGTAACTTGAATTATCCAGGATTGTGGTTTTACTAAGCAAGCCTGATAAAGAGAGAGGGCTAGAGGGTTGTGGGTGTTTTCAGGCTGAGTTAAGAGAGAAGACATGAAGGAGGTGAGGAACAGTAAAAAGGTGGTAAGATCAGTGGACTGAAGGATGCATTAAAGAATGACTGTGTTTAACTCTCTGATACATCTGACGTATGTTCTCCATCTCCACTTCCCTGCTAGTCATAGCGGATAAGGATACTCCCTGGATTCGAATTCTAGTTCCATCAGTTATAAGATATTGATTCTGTTTTACTTTGTCTGTCTCATTCCAAAACACATGTCTCTAATTACCATAGTTTGATAATGAGTTTTGATATTTATTTAGTAAGGCAAACCCATAAATAACTGATAATTTTTCAAGATAAAAGTGAAATAAATTTTCAGGAAAAAAAAGCTGAGAAAATTTGTCACAAACTAAAGAAAACAAGAAAGAGACAGTAGATGAAAGAGTGCTCATTAGGTGAAAGGAAAATGATCCAAGAGGGTAGCTTTGAGATGTAGGAAGAAACAAAAAGCAAGAAAATGATAAATGTTTTGATAAAGCTAAATAAGTATCAACTCATAAAGAAATAATATTCCCAGAAGAGTCATGAATATACAGAGAAAATTAAAGTACATGACAATGGCAATGTAAAAGTTAGGGGTGAATAAAAAAGAGACTTAAGAGTTCTAAAATCATTGCATTGTCCTGGAAGAGGAAAAAGTACAATGATTAGTCAAAGATACATGTCATAATCCCTAGAAAGGAGATCATTATTAAATAGAAAATAAAAGAATACATCTTATAGAAAGGAAATCTAAATGATAATATTAAACAGATCTAAAATAAGGCAAAAGTGAGGATAAAAAAGAAAGATGGAACCAATGGGGCAAATAGAAAAAGTAAGATAGCGTGGTAGGGCATTAATTCCAGCCTTACATCAATGCATAAGTATCTCAATATTCTACTGTAAAGGGAAAGTAAAGATTTCTTACAGCCTGAGTGTAATGGAGAAATCTAGTTTATCATAGTGCTTTAAATATTGTAAGTCTTCAACTTCTAGTTGATGAATAAATGATGGAATTCTCAGTGATACTGCACTGTTATCAAATAAATATAAAAGGAGCTCCTGGAATTGGATGTAATACAGGTAAAGAAGTAAACACAGCCATATAGGCATGGCTTCTTGCAGGGACAACTTTGTGAATCGGCTCAGACAGACAGACAGGCAAATACACCTCATTGCCTCATACATGTTATTTGCTTTAGTTTTTGTTCTGAACCTTCCTACTCCTTCAAGTATCTGCATTTACTTTATCAAATTCTCTTTTATTAGAGACTGAAGAAACTGTCATCTCCTTATGTGCTAATGAGTTTAATAATGTCCTCCAGTCACCACAAGCCTTCTTTCAAACTACACAATTCCAACTGCTTCCGTCTCAGAGTATCTTGAAATAATGATCTGACCGCCTGTTAGACCAGTGAAGGGAAGGAATTTGGGTTGATTTAAGAAGAGAATCCTCATGGTCATGGTAGACTGATATGGAGAGAAAACATTTTGAGGAAAAATACTCAACTAAATTCATTTCTACTCCAGCATGCAGTTTCAAGTCAAGTTCCACCTTAGCTCCAGGTGGCAGGCAGAGCAGGATGCAGAGGCACAGCACAAGTAAGGGGTGAGTGCCGAAGCTGCTGGCTCCTGTTCCAGTCTTTCTTCCTTGGCCTCGCCTGAACTTTTACTATAATAATAGTCACCATTTATTAGGTGTCTCCTACGTGCAGGACACTTTACACACAGTATCCCTAATCCTAATAACACCCTTATTTTATAGATCCAATGACTGAGTCAAGAATTACATAACCTGGCCAGACAGCTGGTACATGGGAAAGGTGAGATTCACACCAGGGTCCACCCAGCATCTCTACTTATACCATGCTCTGCTTTAAGGTTCTCTGAGAACTCAGACAAGCCTTGGGCTAACAATTGTGTTAACAGGACATAGCAGGTGCAAGGACCCACTGGTCATCCTGCTACCTGATCAGAAGGAAGGAAAGTTGTATTTGTTGCTCACCTACTATGTTTTAGGCATAGTACTAGGTGCTTTTACCTAGTACTTAATTCCCTTATCCTCAACTCATTTATTCCTCGCAATAACCTGATAAGGGAGATGTTTTTATCCTCATTTTACATATAAGGAAACAGGCCTAGAGAAATGAGCACAGTGTCCAAAGTCACATAGTTAATAAGATGTGAAGCTCTGAGTTTGAAAGTCTCCGGTTTCAAAGCCATGAAACTTATGGCTCCCCGTTTTAGACACTTCCTTTTGGGAAGAGTGTGGAGGAATTAATCAGAAAGAAGAAAGTCATACTCAAATAGGTGGTAGGAGCAGAGACAATTCAATACAGACAGAAGTCTTAGATGAGAGCAGTGAGCCAGGGCACTGGACTGGGACTCAGGAGGCTTCCCCTAGACTCTGGTTCCACCGATGCAGCCTCAGGCAGGACTTCACCTCTCTGGGCATCCGTTTCTTCATATGTTAAACATACGGGGTTTTAATTAGATGATCGCTGAAGACCCCTCTAGCCCTAAAACTCTGTGTCTCTTAAGTGCTAAGAGGGCACCAACAGCGTTCCTCCTCCCCAAGGAGCATAATGTGATGGTTCCTGCCGGCCCTGGCTGACTCTCGCCGTCCTTGGAGATAATTGGGTTCAGTGCCACCTGGACCAGAACTGGGGATGCGGAAGCAAGAGGCGAGTCTATTGCTCTCTCTCGGTCCTGGGCCGCCCTGTGATTGTTGGGCGTCCGGAAACTGTCTCCCCTATGGGTTTAAAAACAAAACTGAGCGCCCATGGGGTGTGACAGTCATCTGCAGGGGCTTGGGTGGCCCATCAGGCGAGGCTTTCTCGGCACCCGAGGCTCCAGCCTGATCTCGGTCTTATCCTGCGACCGGGCTGGTTCTGGCGGGTCGCCAGGGTGGGCGGCGGCCCCAGCCGGGCGCCCCGGCGGCAAGAGCGGCAGGCTGCGCCCCTGGCCCGCGCCTAGCCTGGGGAGAGAGCTGGGCGGGCGGCGGGAGCTGCTCTCGCGGGCCGCGGCCCTCGCCCTGGCTGCAACGGTAGGCGTTTCCCGGGCCGGACGCGCGTGGGGGGCGGGGGCGGGGGCGGGGGCGAGGCCGCGGCGAGCAAAGTCCAGGCCCCTCTGCTGCAGCGCCCGCGCGTCCAGAGGCCCTGCCAGACACGCGCGAGGTTCGAGGTGAGAGAGGTCCGGGCGCGTCTGGCCTCGAAGGGAGACCCGGGACGTGGGGCGCGGGGCGGGAGTGGCCGGACCTCCACCCAGTGCCCCCGGGCCCCGCGACTCGTGCGCCGGGCCGCCGGAGAGGGTGTACTTGGTTCTGAGGCTGTGGTTTCTCCTCAGGCTGAGATGGATCTTGAGGCGGCAAAGAACGGAACAGCCTGGCGCCCCACGAGCGCGGAGGGCGACTTTGAACTGGGCATCAGCAGGTACATCCCCAGCAGCCACTGGCTTTTCCGTTACACGCCAATCAGCAGGACTAAGTTCACCCTTGGAAAGAAGTTGTAAAAATCGGTTGATGCCTTTGAAGACCTTTGTTTTGGAGGCTTCTTTGAAGGGTCTTGCATCCGGTTCTGACCTTGGAGCAAACGTGTTGTGTGGCCTCAAAGAATGTCACTGAGGCTCCTTTTGGAACAGATTCAGGAAGAAAAGGCTGTCTTGAAAAGTGCTCCCTTCCCTTTGTGCAGGGGGGATTCAATGAATATCTGCATTGTATAACATTCATTGTATTACGTAACTCTTGAAACTTTTACAAATGACTTTCATATACATCATCTGATTGTTCAGACTTAAAGGGTGTCAGACATCTGCTGTTGATGGCTGTGCTTTTTGAACAAGGGCAGTGAAGCAAAAACTCCCTCCCCTCCTGCCCATCCCCTGTTATGTCTCTTCCTCCTTGTCTTACCCCTCCCCCTCCTCTCATCGCCAGGCTTATTTGTATTTCTCCTTTCTGGGAGGATAGGTGGGGAGGGGGAACTTCTGTACATCCGAATCAGTTTTGTTCAAGTGGTAGGGGGAAGCAGCGCTTCCTTTGCCTTCATGTCTTTCTCGGTTCCCCTGGCCCTTGTTAAACTCACTTCACAGGCTTTATGAGCGGGGCAGAAGTTCCCAGTCAATGGCGTGTGTCTTTGTTTCCTCTTTCACTGTGGGAATAGTGAATCATTTTCGCCTTTAGCCTGAAATAGTTTATGAGGCTATTACGGTCTCTGAGTTCATACCAGGCTACCCAGAAAAAATTGACCTGTGTCAAGTGATCACCCAGAGGGACAAATTTATCAGTCTCTGTAGTTTGTCCTCAAGCTGCTAGGGGCTTGATTAGCTAACTGAAAACATGCCTACCTGATGCTTAAACTGAAGCATTATTTTAGCCTGTTAATGTGGTTGTGCAGTAACCTTGCTGTATTTCTTCTAAGCACCATTGTATTTTTTCATAGAAAATTTAGTTTTGCCATGTAGAATTGAAAAAGTGATAGATGGTGTTACTTCCAATGGAAGTACTTACACACGCAATAGAAAAATATGGTTTTCATCAGCTGGCTGTTTAGGCAGGGATTGACTGTGAGTCTATTAATAGATGGCATTTTCATGAAGAAGTCTATTTATGTATTGCACTGGCTTAACATTTGATGCGTGTGCAAAGGAGCTATTCCTACAAAAGGTGTAGTAACACTTCAGAACCCAGGAAAGTCCTCAGAGGGGAAGCCCACAGCTTCTGCTGGAAAGAAGAAAGCAGCTCAAAAGAGAAATACAGAAAGTTAACAATAAGTTAAGACCACATGATTATGAAATCAAATGTAGTGAAACTAATTTTTATAAAAGCAGACCAAAGATAATATATTTAAAGGAAGTTAAGCCTGCTTCAATCAAATTAGTTATATTCTTGTTCTAATTATGTTGCTATTGCCCATGGCACATTCTTTTGAACATATTTAGTGGCAGATGTTTGTCCAGTGATTTTAGTCAATACTTTACATAATTTGGAATCATCTTATGAGTAAAACTTTATCATTTACCTGGATAAATGCATCATATTTATGTAAAAATCATCATATATATATAAATCATCATACACACACACACACACACACTCCCTCATAGAGTTTATATTATAGTACGGAGGACAGACATAAATAATGTACATACTAAATAAGTAAACCACAGCCAATGTTAGAAGGTAATTAACGCCATGGAAAAAAGCATTAATCCAGGTTAAGGGGATCAGGAGTACAAAAGGGGAGTACTTTGTAATTTTAAGTAGGGTGGTTAGGGTAGATCTTATTTTAAAGGTAATATTTGAGCAAAGACTTGAAAGAAATGAGAGGAGACAGCTGTGTGGGTATCTAAGGGGAGAGCATTCCCGGAAAAGGTAACTGGCAATGCAAAGACCCTGAGTCAGGTACATGTTTGGTGAGTTCATGGAACAGCAGAGAGTCCAGGCTGGTTGGAGCAGAGTAAGCAGGTTTGGGAGTAGGGATGTGGTCAGAGAGGAAATAAGCAAACAGATCGTGTAGGACCTCAGAGGTTAATGCAAGGATTTTGGCTTTTATTGTAAGAAAAAGGAAAGCCATTGTAGGTTTTTGAGCAAAGAAGTAGTGTATGGCTTGGCATTTTGAAATAATTACTCTGACTGCTAGTTGAAGATAGACTGAAGCGGCATAGGTGGAAGTGGAGAGACTAGGCAGGAGGCTGCCCTACTGGTGACAGCAATGAAACTGGTGATAAGTGGTTAAATTCTAGATGTACTTTGAATGTATCACCAACAAGATTGCCTGACACCACTCTCCACAATCCTTCAGAAGAATAGACATTCCTAATTTTAAATCATGATTTTTTTTAATTTTAGAAAACAAATAACTTAATTGACTTAGCGACACTGTTAGCATACTTATCTTTCCTGTGTATGTGAGCTCTGTAAGGCAGGCGACCATTTCTTATGTATCCATGTATCTTTGTAGTACCTTCGACAGTTACTTTTGTGCTTGCTATGTTTGTTGAACTGAATAATTTTGACATTTTGTGAACATCACTCTTATATTTGAAAATATAATAGTTGAATATTGTAACTAAACATATTTATGTTCAATTGATTGTAAAACATTTTGTAACAGTTTTAAATTGAAGCAATTCTATTTTTTACAGCAAACAAAAAAGGAAAAAAACGAAGACAGTGAAAATGATTGGAGTATTAACATTGGTAAGCTGTGAAATGTTAAATGTGAATAATCCTACCTTTTATTCAAATTTGAGGTATTGAATCAATTACCTTTAAAGCAAATACTTTAAGATTGTCTAGCTAGGCGAGCTGACTCATACTTGTAATCCCAGCACTTTGGGAGACTGAGGTGGGAGGGTTGCTTGAGCACAAGAGTTTGAGACCAGCCTGGACAACATAGTGAGATCTCATCTCTACAAAATAATAAAAATAAAAATCTTAAAAAATAGCATATGTCATGGCATGAACCTGTAGTCCCAGCTACTTGGGAGGCTGAGGCAGGAGGGTCTTAGGAGTCTGAGGCTGCAGTGAGTTATGATCACACCACTGCACTCCAGCCTGGGTGGCAGAGCAAGACCCTGTCTCAAAAACAACGACAACAAAAAACTGTCTGCAGACAGCAATAAATTGTCCTTGCTGCACCTGTGCTGTATAAGTTTGGCTTATTATAGTCAATGACCCACATTCTTAAGATGGATGATTTTTTAAAAAGTAGAGACAGGCTGGCGATGACACCGGACAGAGCTAACTGGTGTGCAAGGAAAGTGAAAATGGGAATTGTGTTAGTAGCACAATGCAAACTCAACAATTTCAAGAAAATGCATTTCTGCATTTGCTTCACAGACCCCCACCCCAAATTTAGCTTAAAATAAGCTTGCATTTCAAGAAAGTAATTGTTAAGTACATAAATTTTAATTTAAGGAATCTACATTCACATTTGGTTTCCAAAAAATTGGCTAAATAGGGGGTAACTATTAGGAATTCTGATTATGCTTAAAACAGTTTTCGGTGCTTTTCTGTTGGTACAAGACAAGACAATATTTTTGGAAGAAGTCTCCTCATCTGGTTTTCATTTGAAATATGTCTTACAGAGGCAGCTCAAGAAAGCATTTGCCCATTTTTGGTAAATATGACGTGTTTCAAACTGTGACAGCCATTATTTGGTAGCAAAGAAGTTAGAATTAAGTGTCATGTCAGCTGAAATCCAACTTAGTAATTAAATGGATAAAAAGACACCAAAACATCCACACTCTCAAACACTGCTGCATACTTCTCATGTAACCAAAAGCCCCTATTCATTGTCTTCTCTCCTCTTTTTTTATTTGTTTAAAAAGCCTCAGTAAGGGCAATTTAAAAAAAAATTAGCACTTTGGAGAATAAATTGTTTATCAAATGAAAGCTGGTTTTATTTATTTTTTTAGAAGTTTTTTTTTCTTTATTTTTTTAAATTTGTTTAAATTATACTTTAAGTTCTAGGGTACATGTGCATAACGTGCAGGTTTGTTACATATGTATACATGTGCCATGTTGGTGTGCTGCACCCATTAACTTGTCATTTACATTAGGTATATCTCCTAATGCTATCCCTCCCCCATCCCCCCACCCCACAATAGGCCCCGGTGTGTGATGTTCCCCTTCCTGTGTCCAAGTGTTCTCATTGTTCAGTTCCCACCTGTGAGTGAGAACATGAGGTGTTTGGTTTTTTGTCCTTGCGATAGTTTGCTGAGGATGGTTTCCAGCTTCATCCATGTCCCTACAAAGGACATGAACTCATCATTTTTTATGGCTGCATAGTATTCCATGGTGTATATGTGCCACATTTTCTTAATCCAGTCTATCATTGTTGGACATTTGGGTTGGTTCCAAGTCTTTGCTATTGTGAATAGTGCTGCAATAAACATACTTGTGCATGTGTCTGTATAGCAGCATGATTTATATTCCTTTGGGTATATACCTAGTAATGGGATGGCTGGGTCAAATGATATTTCTAGTTCTAGATCCTTGAGGAATCACCACACTGTCTTCCACAATGGTTGAACTAGTTTACAGTCCCACCAATAGTGTAAAAGTGTTCCTATTTCTCCACATCCTCTCCAGCACCTGTTGTTTCCTGACTTTTTAATGATTGCCATTCTAACTGGTGTGAGATGGTATCTCATTGTGGTTTTGATTTGCATTTCTCTGATGGCCAGTGATCATGAGCATTTTTTCATGTGTCTATTGGCTGCATAAATGTCTTCTTTTGAGGAGTGTCTGTTCATATCCTTCACCCACTTGTTGGTGGGGTTGTTTTTTTCTTGTAAATTTGTTTGAGTTCTTTGTAGATTCTGGATACTAGCCCTTTGTCAGATGAGTAGATTGCAAAAATTTTCTCCCATTCTGTAGGTTGCCAGTTCACTCTAATGATAGTTTCTTTTGCTGTGCAGAAGCTCTTTAGTTTAATTAGATCCCATTTTTGTCAATTTTGGCTTTTGTTGCCTTTGCTTTTGGTGTTTTAGACATGAACTCCTTGACCATGCCTATGTCCTGAATGGTATTGCCTAGGTTTTCTTCTAGGGTTTTTATGGTTTTAGGTCTAACATGTAAGTCTTTAATCCATCTTGAATTAATGTTTGTATAAGGTGTAAGGAAGGGATCCAGTTTCAGCTTTCTACATATGGCTAGCCAGTTTTCCCAGCACCATTTGTTAAATAGGGAATCCTTTTCCCATTTCTTGTTTTTGTCAGGTTTGTCAAAGATCAGATAGTTGTAGATGTATGGTATTATTTCTGAGGGCTCTGTTCTGTTCCATTGGTCTATATCTCTGTTTTGGTACCAGTACCATGCTGTTTTGGTTACTGTAGCCTTGTAGTATAGTTTGAAGTCAGGTAGCATGATGCCTCCAGCTTTGTTCTTTTAGCTTAGGATTGACTTGCCAATGCAGGCTCTTTTTTGGTTCCATATTAACTTTAAAGTAGTTTTTTCCAATTCTATGAAGAAAGTCATTGGTAGCTTGATGGGGATGGCATTGAATCTATAAATTACCTTGGGCAGTATGGCCATTTTCACGATATTGATTCTTCCTATCCATGAGCATGGAATGTTCTTCCATTTGTTTGTGTCCTCTTTTATTTCGTTGAGCAGTGGTTTGTAGTTCTCCTTGAAGAGGTCCTTCACATCCCTTGTAAGTTGGATTCCTAGGTATTTTATTCTCTTTGAAGCAATTGTGAATGGGAGTTCACTCATGATTTGGCTCTCTGTCTGTTATTGATGTATAAGAATGCTTGTGATTTTTGCACATTGATTTTGTATCCTGAGACTTTGCTGAAGTTGCTTATCAGCTTAAGGAGGCTTTGGGCTGAGACAATGGGGTTTTCTAGATATACAGTCATGTCATCTGCAAACAGGGACAGTTTTACTTCCTCTTTTCCTAATTGAATACCCTTTCTTTCTTTCTTCTGCCTGATTGCCCTGGCCAGAACTTCCAACACTATGTTGAATAGGAGTGGTGAGAGAGGGCATCCTGTCTTGTGCCAATTTTCAAAGGGAATGCTTCCAGTTTTTCCCATTCAGTATGATATTGGCTATGGGTTTGTCATAAATAGCTCTTATTATGTTTAGATACCTCCCATCAATACCTAATTTATTGAGAGTTTTTAGCATGAATGGCTGTTGAATTTTGTCAAAGGCCTTTTCTGCATCTATTGAGATAATAATGTGGTTTTTTTCTTTGGTTCTGTTTATATGCTGTATTACGTTTATTGATTTGTGTATGTTGAACCAGCCTTGCATCCCAGGGGTGAAGCCCACTTGATCATGGTGGATAAGCTTTTTGATGTGCTGCTGGATTCGGTTTGCCAGTATTTTATTTTATTTTATTTTATTTTATTTTATTTTATTTATTTATTTTTTGAGACGGAGTTGCGCTGTTTCGCCCAGGCCGGACTGTAGTGGCGCTATCTGGGCTCACTGCAAGCTGCGCCTCCCGGGTTCACGCCATTCTCCTGCCTCAGCCTCTCGAGTAGCTGAGACTACAGGTCCCCACCACCACGCCTGGCTAGTTTTTGTATTTTTAGTAGAGACAGGGTTTCACCATGTTAGCCAGGATGGTCTTGATCTCTTGACCTTGTGATCCGCCCGCCTCAGCCTCCCAAAGTGCTGCGATTATAGGCGTGAGCCACCGCGCCCACGGTTTGCCAGTATTTTATTGAGGATTTTTGCATTGATGTTCGTCAGGGATATTGGTCTAAAATTCTCTTTTTTTGTTGTGACTCTGCCAGGCTTTGGTATCAGGATGATGCTGGCCTCATAAAATGAGTTAGGGAGGATTCCCTCTTTTTCTATTGATTGGAATAGTTTCAGAAGGAATGGTACCAGTTCCTCCTTGTACCTCTGGTAGAATTCGGCTGTGATTCTGTCTGGTCCTGGACTTTTTTTGGTTGGTAAGCTATTAATTTCAGAGCCCGTTATTGGTCTATTCAGAGATTCAACTTCTTCCTGGTTTAGTCTTGGGAGGGTGTATGTGTTGAGGAATTTATCCATTTCTTCTAGATTTTCTAGTTTATTTATGTAGGGGTGTTTACAGTATTCTCTGATGGTAGTTTGTATTTCTGTGATATCAGTGGTGATATCCCCTTTATCATTTTTTATTGCGTCTATTTGATTCTTCTCTCTTTTCTTCTTTATTGGTCTTGCTAGCAGTCAATCAATTTTGTTGATCTTTTCAAAAAACCAGCTCCTGGATTCATTGACTTTTTGAAGGGTTTTTTATGTCTCTATCTCCTTCAGTTCTGCTCTGATCTTAGTTATTTCTTGCCTTCTGCTAGCTTTTGAATGTGTTTGCTCATGCTTCTCTAGTTCTTTTAATTGTGATGTTAGGGTGTCAATTTTACACCTTTCCTGCTTTCTCTTGTGGGCATTTAGTGCTATTAATTTCCCTCTACCCACTGCTTTAAATGTGTCCCAGAGATTCTGGTATGTTGTGTCTTTGTTCTCATTGGTTTCAAAGAACATCTTTATTTCTGCCTTCATTTCGTTATGTGCCCAGTAGTCGTTCAGGAGCAGGTTGTTCAGTTTCCATGTAGTTGAGCGGTTTTGAGTGAGTTTCTTAATCCTGAGTTCTAGTTTGATTGCACTGTGGTCTGAGACACAGTTTGTTATAATTTCTGTTCTTTTACATTTGCTGAGGAGTGCTTTACTTCCAACTACGTGGTCAATTTTGGAGTAAGTGCAGTGTGGTGCTGAGAAGAATGTATATTCTGTTGATTTGGGGTGGAGAGTTCTGTAGATGTCTATTAGGTCCACTTGGTGCAGAGCTGAGTTCAATTCCTGGATATCCTTGTTAACTTCTGTCTCGTTGATCTGTCTAATGCTGATAGTGGGGTCTTAAAGTCTCCCATTATTATTGTGTGGGAGTCTCTTTGTAGGTATCTAAGGACTTGCTTTATGAATCTTGGTGCTCCTGTATTGGGTGAATATATATATTTAGGATAGTTAGTTCTTCTTGTTGAATTGATCCGTTTACCATTATGTAATGGCCTTCTTTGTCTCTTTTGATCTTTGTTGGTTTAAATTCTGTTTTATCAGAGACTAGGATTGCAATCCCTGCCTTTTTTTGTTTTCCATTTGCTTGGTAGATCTTCCTCCATCCCTTTCTTTTGAGCCTATGTGTGTCTCTGCACGTGAGATGGGTTTCCTGAATACAGCACACTGATGGGTCTTGACTCTTTATCCAGTTTGCCAGTCTGTGTCTTTTAATTGGAGCATTTAGCCCATTTAAATTTAAGGTTAATATAGTTATGTGTGGATTTGATCCTGTCATTATGATTTTAGCTGGTTATTTTGCTCATTAGTTGATGCAGTTTCTTCCTAGCCTTGATGGTCTTTACAATTTGGTATGTTTTTGCAGTGACTGGTACTGGCTGTTCCTTTCCACGTTTAGTGCTTCCTTCAGGACCTCTTTTAGGGCAGGCCTGGTGGTAACAAAATCTCTCAGCATTTGCTTGTCTGTAAAGTATTTTATTTCTCCTTCGCTTATGAAGCTTAGTTTGGCTGGATGTGAAATTCTGGGTTGAAAATTCTTTTCTTTAAGAATGTTGAATATTGGCCCCCTCTCTCTTCTGGCTTGTAGAGTTTCTGCCGAGAGATCAGCTGTTAGTCTGATGGGCTTCCCTTTGTGGGTAACCTGACCTTTCTCTCTGCATGCTCTTAACATTTTTTCCTTCATTTCAACTTTGGCGAATCTGACAATTATGTTTCTTGGAGTTGCTGTTCTCGAGGAGTATCTTTGTGGTGTTCTCTGTATTTCCTGAATTTGAATGTTGGCCTGCCTTGCTAGATTGGGGAAGTTCTCCTGGATAATATCCTGCAGAGTGTTTTCCAACTTGGTTCCATTAATCCTGTCACTTTCAGGTACACCAATCACACATAGATTTGGTCTTTTCACATAGTCCCATATTTCTTGGAGGCTTTGCTTGTTTCTTTTTATTCTTTTTTCTCTAAACTCCTCTTCTTGTTTCATTTCATTCATTTGATCTTCAATCACTGATACCCTTTCTTCCACTTGATCGAATTGGCTACTGAAGCTTGTGCTTTCGTCACATAGTTCTTGTGCCATGGTTTTCAGCTCCATCAGGTCCTTTAAGGACTTCTCTGCATCGGTTATTCTAGTTAGCCATTCATCTATTCTTTTTTCTAGGTTTTTAACTTCTTTGCCATGGGTTCGAACTTCCGTCTTTAGCTCAGAGAAGTTTGATCATCTGTAGCCTTCTTCTCTCAACTCATCAAAGTCATTCTCCGTCCTGCTTTGTTCCATTGCTGGTGAGGAGCTGCATTCCTTTGGAGGAGGAGAGGCGCTCTGATTTTTAGAATTTTCAGTTTTTCTGTTCTGTTTTTTCCCCATCTTTGTGGTTTTATCTACCTTTGGTTTTTGATGATGGTGACGTACAGATGGGTTTTGGCGTGGATGTCCTTTCTGTTTGTTAGTTTTCCTTCTAACAGTCAGGACCCTCAGCCGCAGGTCTGTTGGAGTTTGCTGGAGGTCCACTCCAGACCCTGTTTTCCTGGGTATCAGCAGCGGAGGCTGCAGAACAGCGAATATTGATGAACAGCGAATGTTGCTGCCTGATTGTTCCTCTGGAAGTTTCGTCTCAGAGGGCTGCCCGGCCATGTGAGGTGTCAGTCTGCCCCTACTGGGTGGTGCCTCCCAGTTAGGCTACTCGGGGGTCAGGGACCCACTTGAGAAGGCAGTCTGTCCATTCTCAGATCTCAAATGCTGTGCTGGGAGAACCACTACTCTCTTGAAACCTGTCAGACAGGGACATTTAAGTCTGCAGAGGTTTCTGCTGCCTTTTGTTCAGCTATGCCCTACCCCTAGAGGCAGAGTCTACAGAGGCAGGCAGGTCTCTTTGAGCTGTGGTGGGCTCCACCCAGTTCCTGGCCGCTTTGTTTACCTACTCAAGAGCTTCCTGGCCGCTTTGTTTACCTACTCAAGTCTCAGCTATGGAGGGCACCCTTCCCCCAGCCTCGCTGCCACCTTGCAGATTGATTTCAGACTGCTGTGCTAGCAATGAGCGAGGCTTCGTGGGTGTGGGACCCTCTGAGCCAGGCGTGGGATGTAATCTCCTGATGTGCCGTTTGCTAAGACCATTGGAAAAGCGCAGTATTAGGGTGAGAGTGACCCGATTTTCCAGGTGCCGTCTGTCACAGCTTTGCTTGGCTAGGAAAGGGAATTCCCTGACCTCTTGTGCTTCTCGGGTGAGGGGATGCTTCCCCCTGCTTTGGCTCATGCTCGGTGCGCTGCACCTACTGTCCTGCACCCACTGTCCGACAAGCCGCAGTGAGATGAACCTGGGGCCTCAGTAGGAAATGCAGAAATCACCTGTTATCTGTGTCACTTGCACTGGGAGCTGTTGACTGGAGCTGTTCCTAATCAGCTATCTTGGAACCGCCTCTGAAAGCTGGTTTTAATGCATAGGTTTTAAATCTGCCTCCTACAGAAAATACAATCCTACAAACCTTAATGTAGGAACAGAAATTTTCATTTGAATTTAGAAGTTTTAGCTTAAGTTAAACTTAAATTTAATATTTATTTTCACCTCTTACTAGATATCTTAATAGATATTTTTTGTCCTGAAAGAGGTTGAGGATAAAACTGTGCTCTAACAGGAGTTAGAAATATATTATTTTCTGGAAAATCACTGAAAACAAACCTAGGTTTACTTAGGATGTTGCTGTGAAATTCACCTCGTTTTAAATTTATGCTTAGAGGCTGTAAAATTGTATTCAATTAATATGAAAACATTTAAAATGCTTTTTAATGTTAACAACCTGACCCTGTGCTTTTAACTATAGCTGACAGACTCAAGTGTTCTGTTTTCCTTTTCCCAGAACCACTAAAAATGAACCTTTGGGACACTGGTCCCTTTGTGACAATTTTAGGGACCCAGCTCCATTGGCTCTTGACTTTACCTGCTCCCATTGTTTTATCCAAGCTCTGCCTGGTTTCTGACCCTTTGTCTCTTTCGGTTCTCTTGCTTGCCCTGTGTGTTTGATGATGGAGTTTGTCCCTGTCCCTGAAACCTTGCCTGAACTCCTGGAAATCTTTGAGAATGGTGTACACACATATCCACTTTCCACCATGTGCCTCTAACCTCAGCCTCACCCGGGTTATTGACCCAGTCTGACCTAGCTTCAGCCCTCAAAGGCTCCACTGTGCCAAGCCTGGCTCATCACCCTCTCTCCCAATAACTGTTCTTTGTCCCCAAAAGGGGCTGAGGTGGGGGGAATGGGCAGAGTAAAGCATTTTAAAAGAGAGGAGAGAAAAAAAAGATAGGAAGCTATAGAAATGGAAATGTAAGATGAGGAAAATGTAGTCTAGAAGGCAGAGGAGGAAAGAAGAACAAAGAGAAAGAGAGCCATAAATGGGTCAATCAAAAACAGAAAGAAAAGGTGAGAAATGGAAGAGGACTAATAAGACAGTAACAAAGTCCTTTGAAGTGTTAGAACACTGAACTGCTGGTTAGTTCTTGAGGGTTGTGCACTTCACTGTGACAACTGGTATCACCCTTCCCCTCTGTAGGTAGTACTGTGTCCAAGATTCTTGGTGTGGCCCACCAGCGCAGGCCTTCTATCTCTCTCCAACATCCTCTCCCACACTTTGTACTGTGCCCTTCAGGAATTCCACTGCCAGGGGTTACTTAAGCATTCCATGTAGTTTCTAGTTACCTTCTTATTCTAAGCCTAAATTCTTCCTACTTCTTTTACACTCGCCGATTCTTCTCCAGCGAACTCCCTCTTACCCTTCAAGGTTCTGCATACTTGGCAGGTGACACTGGTGAAAACTAAATTTTTAAAAAAGGTTCTGCATAAGGATCTCCATAGGCAAGACTTCCCTAAGGTGCATATATAGACACACTGTAATGTTTATTGTGCTTCACTACTGAGTTGCCTTTTTAAAGCTAACTTAAACCTTCTAAAGGGATCTTATCTCAAAACTCAGAGCATCTATTTTCCTCTATTTTAAATTCTCCCTCTGAAATATTCTGAATGCTTTTTTAAAGGATGTGGTGTGTGTGTGTGTGTGTGTGTGTGTGTGTTTAAACTTAATGTCTTTCCCTAGCCGTTCTTTATTACCACAGGAGCTCTGGGATATCAAATAATATTTCTTAAACCTTTATCCCTTTTGATTGTATAGTAATTATTTATTCAAATCAGATACCAATTAAACATAATTAGATTGATTTCTTCACAGAATACAAAATAAACAGAATCATGAAATTAAGTTGTTAATGATTTGAAGGCCTCCTTTTCTAAGACATTCATTTACAACTCTTAAAAAAGTACTGACTTTAAATAAAAATCCAAAGAATATATAATTATGGAAGAGGAGAAATTCCATTCCACAGCTAAGTATTATTTTATTTCCTTTTTTTAGTTTCGATACTCCGATTGGCAGGATAAATTGTTTATGTCGCTGGGTACCATCATGGCCATAGCTCACGGATCAGGTCTCCCCCTCATGATGATAGTATTTGGAGAGATGACTGACAAATTTGTTGATACTGCAGGAAACTTCTCCTTTCCAGGTAAGCATTTCTTTACCTTTTAAAAAAATCCATAGCATTTCTTTAACTGGGTAAAAATTTGGGAGTTGATTTTGCTATTCATTACCATCTTATTTAATGATTTGGATATCTGGTTGACTCCAGATATCATAGAAGGAGTTGTAAAATTCTCAGAAAATTGTTCAAATACTCGTTTAAATTTAAAGAAATATGTGTATTGTTGTTTGACTTTTAATACAGGTGAAGGAAATACACAGGAAGCTTCTAAATAAAGTAAGGAAGTCACTCTACTTGAGAACAGTGGAAATGTAATGAGAGTATCTCTATGCAGTATCCATCCCATTAGTAATTGCTGATGAGTTTCAAAGCACATCAGTTAAACATGGCAGTACTTCTTAGCTGTGTTTAGCTTGTAGATCTGTTTCTGGGTTTTCTTTTCTTCTCTCCCCTTCACCTTAAAAAAAATTATACCCATTTTCTGTCTCTAATTTTGGATCAACCAGATTGACTGGAACTTGAGATGGCATTTCACTAAAGAGTGAATGGATTCAATACGTCCCTTGGAACTCACCCAAAGGACTATGATTACTGAAGAGCCAAGTGTCCCATAAGTTAATGTTATCAATACGAGAGGCCCTGACAATAGCATTACAGTGGGGCTCCAATAGACATGGTTATTTTCATAGTAACGAAATTCAACATAGAAAGGAAAATTTTCATGCTTTCTACCAAGCCTGAAGCCTCTTTTCTCTAAGAGACCTTGTGGGCACTGGGCTGGAGAAGACTGAGTGAAGCTTTACTGTTGCACAGATGGTAGAATATTTTCAAAACACTGGTAAAGGAAAGGCAGCTTTCTTAGCAAAGATATGTAAGAAAAATTACTCTATCATTTAGACAGCATTGAATAAGAATTTACAGTGTTCACTGACTGAGAACTACATATTTAGTTACTATTGTAGGCCTTACGTGTAATTTCCTAAGAGAATAGGATTGTTTAATTAATACAGCAGAATATGTTTACATAAATATTGATAAATATTAATGCCTTTTAAAAATCCAGTAAAAGCATCCTTTGAATATTTAAAGCAAACTCCTATAAAAGTTTATTTATTTATTCTCAAGTAATATAGTTTCTGAAAAAAACCTCTTTATAATAAAAATAACAATAATGGTGATTTTTCATTGTGCTTACTATGTGCTAGGTCCTATGCTGAGCACTTTACATACATTATTCCACTTTACCCTCACAAGAACAATACTACACAGTAGGTAATGTTATCTTCTGTGATAGATGGCAAAACCAAGGCTTGGAGAGGGCAAATAACTTTTCCATAGTTACACTGCTGGTCTTTCTGCCATCCAAACCATGCTTATTATCATATATAGTATAGTGTCAATATAGATGATTCGGAAAAAAAAGTGCTTGGGAAAGTTTTAAATGGATTGCTTATTTGTGACTAGTGACCAAAACTTTAACATAAACATTGTGAAGTTGTGGTAGGACAGATAGTTTAAAAAGTCTTTAAAGAGGCTGGGTGTTGGTGGTTCACACCTGTAATCCCAGCACTTTGGGAGGCCAAGGTGGTGGCAATTAAGTTTTGAGTTTGGGAGTTCGAGACCAGCCTGACCATTGTGGAGAAACCCCATCTCTACTAAAAATACAAAATTAGCCAGGCATGGTGGCTCATGCCTGTAATCCCAGCTACTCTGGAGGCTGAGGCAGAGGAATCGCTTGAACCCAGGGGGCGGAGGTTGCCATTGCACTACAGCCTGGGCAACAAGAGCAAAACTCCGTCTCAAGAAAAAAAAAGTCTTTAAAGAAATGGGAGAGGTAGGAATTTTCTATTGTGTATTTGTTTTCCTAGAAAATCTACAGATCTACAACATATTAATTTTGTATACATATAGAGCAGGATGATGCCCATATTAAGACACCTCAGTTAAAAATCTATTTCTTATGGAATACTACACACCTATAAAAAATACGAAATCACCAGCTACTTGGGAAGCTGAGGCTGGAGAGTTGCTTGAACCCAGGAGGTGGAGGTTGTAGTGAGCCGAGATGGTGCCACTGCACTCCAGCCTGGGCGACAGTGCAAGACCTTGTCTCAAAATAAATAAATAAATAAATAAATAAATAAATAAATAAATAAATACAAAATTGTGTCCTTTCCAGCAACATGGATACAGCTGGAGGCAATTATCCTAAGCAAATTAACACAAGAATAGAAAACCAAATACTGCATATTCTCACTTATAAGTGGGAGCTAAGCATTGGGTAACACATTGACATAAAGATGAGAACAATAGACACTGAGATCTACTAGAGAGGGGAGGGAGGGCAGCAAGTGTTGAAAAACCAAATACTAGGTATTATGCTCACTACCTGGGTGACAGGATCATTCATATCCCAAACCTCAGCATCACACAGTATCCCCATGTAACAGAACTGCACATATACCCCCTGAATCTAAAATAAAAATTGAAATTATTTTAAAAAGAAAAGAAAAAAGAAATGCAGACTCCCAGGCCACATCTGGACCCACTGAATTAGCAATGGTATTTTAGCAAGACATTTCCTTCCCCACAGTGAATCAGAGATGCATTTATGCACATTAATACTCAAGGGTCTATTAAATGGTCTGACCTTCCAGATGCGGAGCTGGGTTTCTCACCCATCCCTTTAGTAGCAGGACAATGACTGTATAGGAACTTACACCAGCTGCCTTTGATTTCCATCTTATTTCATCTGGAAAAAAAAAATCAAAGAAACTACAAAGACGTTTCTCCAACTCCTGAATTGTCAGCACCATATCTCCACTGCCCCTACTTTGAAATTATCTTTGGGTTTCACATTTCCTGATCTTCAAACCATAAAGCACCATTTATTAGAGCACCAATGGAATATTTTTGTGGAATAAGACCCAACTTTATCTGTTCATGTATGGTCTAGCACCTCTTTTCAAGTGTCGCAGATATTATCTCTTGGTGACTCACATTAGCCTTCCAGCGAAGCACTTATATGTCCATAAAATATCTGTGAAATAATGTAGAGAAACTGATGATTACTTCTAGGGAGAGAAAGTGAGTGGCTTTGAAAATGGGTGGGTGTGATGTCTCCCTGTATTCTCGCTTGTAACTGTTGACGTATACACCTTTACCAAGAAAAAATAAATTTAAAGTAAAAAAAAAATTTTAAATGGCTTCTACACAGGGTTAAAAAAATCAGATTAACAGATGAATGGAAAAATAAGATATGGTAGATACATACAATGGAATATTATTCAGCCTTTTGAAGGGAAATAACTTCTGACATATGCTATGTCATAGATGAACCTTGAGGACATGACGCTAAATGAAATGAGCCACTCAAAAAAAGATAAATACTGTTCGATTCTACTTTTATGAGGTATCTAGAGTAAAATTCATAAGAACGCAAGTGGAATGGTGGTTAATAGGGGTTGTGGGGAGGAGCAGTGGGGAGCTGTTGTTTAATGGGTATAGAATTTCAATTTTGCAAGTTGAAAAAGTTCTGGAGGTTGGCTGGACAACAGTGTGAATATACTTAACAGTACTGAACTGTACACTTAAAAATAGTTAACATGGTAAACTTTATGTAAGGTATTTTATCACAATTAAAATTTTTAAAGTCAGATTAAAGCAATGCAATTCACTTATCACACATCATTTCTCTTTTGGACCAATTTTATTAGTTCTGTTTTTGTTTTTACTAATACCAGAATAATTCCCAACTTTCTTATTTGGAGCAGTTTGCTTTTTTTTTTTTTTTTAACTTGTGCCTAATTATGAAACTGAATGGCTTTAAGCTGGACATGGCAGAGAGGTGCCAAATTCAAGGTCTCTCTGGGGAATGGCACAAGCAAGTCACTTACAGAACTGTGGTTGACACAGAGATAAACTCGCGAGAGTTGCCAACTTTGTTTTGGTAGCCTCCGAATTATAAACACTCCTGTTATGATGCTTGGTACCCTGTAGCCATGTTTCTCATTAGGCTTACTGGATGCTATGGAGTATTTAGATGGAAAGTTCCTCAAATGTTATGAATTTCCAGCATCCACTCTTTGGTCGTTTGTAAAAATAATATTCTCATACCTCTTAGAAGACAATGAAATCTTTAAAGGATACTCACTCTAAATCCAGACTGCTTATTGATGTGTTGAGAGTTGTAGAGTTTAACAAAAATCATGGGGGTTGGGAACAGATAGAGTGAGGTACTTAGCTGAGGTTCCAGCTTATCTCTTAGAGATGTTTACTTAGTCTATTCTTTAGAATTGTTGGATGCTTGGACAACCAGACTTAATAGGAGCCAAATGAGAAAGGCATGTTAGAAGAAAAAAAGGTTCATATTACAAGAGGGTCTGACAATGACTTATTGTGAGCAAAGCTCGTCCTTGTCAACAGAATAAAGCCACTCCATGACAGGGTTGTTCCCTCACAATGAGTCAGTTGTGCAGAAAGTATGCACACAACATTCTGCATCCAAAACATTAAGGACGGAGTTGGAGAAAACAGTTTTTCTGCAGAGTGTCAAGGACTTGATATCTTTTATGCTGTCTCTGTGACTATAATAGTCTAGAAAATTCTGCGGGAAAATAGCTGCACCCTGATTGTCCTTGCATTGCCTCTTGTTTGAGGGGAAAAATGCCATTTTGAGCCCCCAAGATATCTTCATAACTGTCCATAGTGCCTAGGGTGCCTGAACAAACACCAGCTCTTTATTTTATAATGAATAGTTCTATGTGTTAAAAGAAGTCCTAGGCAACATTTAAAAATAACTAAAAGTACATAATTGGATTGTTTGTAACACAAAGAAAGGAGAGATGCTTGAGGTGATGGATACCTCTCTTTCTTCCCCTTTGAAAAAAAAAGAAGTCTTGGGCAGAATCCGGGAAGGCAGACATTGATTTACTTTGAGACTCAAAAGTGAAAATGAAGACTATGTTTCCCTATCTAATCCTTAATGTATACACTGCTTATTCAGACCCTTCACCCATAAGCTGTGTGACCATGAGCAAGTCTCTTAACCTCTATAATCCTTACTGTTCTCATCTTTGAGAGGTAAGCATCAATTTACTGATAGAATTAAGTGAGATGATTTGTGTAAAGTGTCTGGAACATAGTAAATGATCAATAAATATTGGGACAAACTAGCTATAAGAACTTGGAAATGAAACAACCCACTCTGTCTCTTCATCTGTAAAATGGATAGGTTATATAGGTACTCTCTAAAATGAACAGGCAGCTTCAGGAGTTCCCCAGTTCCTTACTACGGGAGGCATTCAGGTGGACTGGGGTGTAAGTTCTCCATCCTGGCATATTAGAATCAACCAGGGTACTTTTTCTTTTTTGAGACAGGGTCTTGCTCTGTTGCCCAGGCTAGAGTGCAGTGAAGTGATCATAGCTCACTCCAGCCTTGAGCTCCTGGGCTCAAGTAATCCTCCTGCTTCAGTCTCCTGTGTAGCTGGGACTACAGGCACCTGCCACCATGCCCGGCCAACTTTTTGTAAAGGTGGATTTCACCACGTTGCCCAGGCTGGTCTCAAACTCCTGGCCTCAAGTGATCCTCCCGCCTCAGCCTCCCAAAGTGCTGTAATTATAGGTGTGAGCCACCGGGCCTGGCGGGGGGCACTTTATAAAAATGTGATGCTCTGGACTCAACCAGAGATTCTGGCTGCATTGGGCTTGAGTGGAGCCTGAACATCTGTAATTCTTAAGCTCCCCATGTAATTCTAATGCACAGACAGCGTTAAGTACCACCAAGCCAAATGACCATGTAGATATCGTTTATGAGACTGAAGCAGAATAGGTAGCATCTGACAAGACCAGGAGTAGGCTCTTTTCAGATCTAGCAGGCCATGACTTTTCAGGCAACACACCAACATATGTTTAGTTCACCTTTGTCCCAGGCAGCAGAAACTCTGAGTTTCCCCGGGGACTCTGGAGCTCCTCAGGTTACTAACCCAGCACTAGATTTCCATTCTTGAGACTCTGAGAAAGGAGCGGGTCCAATCTGGAACGCTCATAGATTCTTTCCTAGGAGGGAGAGTCAATTTGAGTTGGTATCTGTGTTAGTCCATTTTGTGTTGCTAGGAAGGAATACCTGAGACTGGGTAATTTATGAAGAAAATATGTTTATTTGGCTCATGGTTCAGCAGGCTGTAAAAGTATGGTACCCACATCTGTTTGGGGCTTCTGGCAAAGCCTCAGGAAGCTTTTACTCAGTGAGGGAAGGTGAATGGGGAGCAGATGTGTCACATGGAGAGAGAGGGAGCAGGAGGGAGAGGCCAGGCTCTCTTTAACAACCAGCTGTCACATGAACTGAGTGAGAACTCGCTCATTATCTCAGGGAGGGCACCAAGCCATTCATGTGGGATCTGTCCCCTTGACCCAAACACCTCCCATCAGGCCCCACCTCCAACACTGAGGATCACATTTCAACGTGAGATTTGGAGGGAACAAATATCCAAACCATATCAGTATCCTTATTGAGAGAATTTAAAAGTTTGAGGTAGGTGTTGAAAGAGAGGAAAAACTTATTTAAGATTTCACCCAATTTTTCAGTTCAGGGAAATAAAAAAACCACAATGATTTTTACAAATGCCACAGCTTTAGAATAGCTTGCCTGCCTCTAGTTCCAAATACTCTTCCAATTTGCCCTATTTAAAACTTCAGGATGGAAATGAACACACAGAAAGGAACTGATAAGATGAAAAGTAAAATAGGGTATGAATCTTCAAGGTTCTGATAGCTTATAAAGAGCTAGATTAATAATCGGAAATTTCACTGTGAACATCAGTAGAAATTATAATCCTGGGGGAAAGATGATGCTGCAGTTGGGGCCAGATGCCTGGTAATTGATCCTGACAGTAGTTTGAGTTTTAAATAAGTTTCAACCTTATCTTTCTTTGGAAAAAGATAAGGAGGATACACAGCACCACGAAAACACGAAAACACGACCCCTGGGCTATTTACACATGGCAAAGGAACAAAGAGACCAATTTCTCTCCTAGGACCATGGAAAATGAGAAATATGTACCCTGATGTGTTTTCTCAACAATGCTGTGGTGATATTTTATCCTATTATTTTGTGAATGCAGTAGATGTAGGCTGTTTCTTATTTTTTCATTTGTCTTTTCTAAAAAATAAAAATAAGTCATTGTCACATGAATAAATCAGTATAGTATAGTGTTACGAGCATAGGCCAAATTGCCTGGGCTGACTTTCAGCTCTGCCACTTACTAGCTGTATGACATTGAGTAAGTTACTTTATTTATCTGTGCCTCCATTTCCTATTCTATAAAATGGGGTTTGTGAAATAGTCTCACCTCATAAGATAATTAAATGAATTAACACACCTAAAGTATTCAGAGCAGTGCCTGGTATTTAATAAATGCTCAATAAACATTAGCTATTATTAAAACATGGAAATCAGGAAAGATACATTGACATTTTATCAAATTAGCTCAAATTAATAGACAATAGATTTCTTTCCAATTAATACTGCTTCAAAAAATACTAGAATACAGCAGTGCTGGTAAACAAGAGGTGGAATGCAGGATGTTCACTAATTGCCAGTGATCACTGACATGCCTTTGAGCAACTAAGTTATCTTCCCTGTCTAGTTTTTCCTCCTTTGCGATGGATGTAACTTAGCCTTTCCCTTACTTATGTCATATGAGACATGTAAAGAAAAAACACACAGATATAAAAATAAAATTTATTGAAGTTCTATAAAGTGCTTTGAGCCACCAAAAAAAAAAAATGCCTCTTAAATCCTGTGTTTTCTATTTTAAATATTTCTTATTCCCTCCTCTGTCTTCTGTGTGTTTTGTGGCTTCCTTGTCTCTTCAGTGGCTCCTCTGTGCCTCCTTAGAAGGCTGCTTTGCTAAAGGCTGAGACCGCCAGGATGGGGGAAAGACCTGGGAGGGCTTATCTTCCCCTTTCTTGGCCCTTAATGTCCAGTACCTAAACCCTTGGGCTCTTTACTTGAGTAAAGTGAAAAGAATGCACTTAAGTGTGCAAAGAAAAGTGTTTTTTAAAGAGAAACTTAACAATAGCATCTTCTAGCTTTCATACATTTAAATTATTAACAGATTTTTAAAAACCTGGCAATGCCTATTAATAGTTTGATCTTTTAACATGTTTTATTTTATTTTTTAATTTAGTGAACTTTTCCTTGTCGCTGCTAAATCCAGGCAAAATTCTGGAAGAAGAAATGACTAGGTAACTCATATATATGGTCTACTTTTTTAAAGTTTCATTTGAAGATAATTTCCAATTACAGAGTTATAAGAATATACAAATAACGTGTACTCTTTACCCAGATTCACCTATTATTATCATTTTTGCTCCCAAATCCCAATTTAAAGTAAGATGCACACATCATGGCCCTTTACTGCAGTATGACTCCTAAGAATAAGGATATTTTCTTACATAATCACAGTACAGCTATTAGCTTCAGTAAATTTCAGTACTTTTATCTAATATAACATCTATATTCCAATTTTGTCATTTGATCCAATAATGTCATTTATGGCATTTTCTCCTCCTTCTAGTTTCTCAATAGAAATCTCTAAAGCCTGTAAGCATGATGTTTGTATGTCTGCATAGCAGTGTTGCTGATTGTAACGAGTGCTGTCTGTATGCTAAAAGGCCTGAAAGGTGTCTATCTGGAAGCAGTTTATAAAATTAGATAATAAAAATTTGAAAGTATTGATATGTACTTATTATTTTTTAAAATACTAACTTTCTACTAATTTGGTAAAACATTCCAAATTCGTTTGAATTCATGACATTTTATCATATCTTTTTTTAAAATATTTCAAATTCTGACAAATAGGAACAAAGTTTTTTGGTTCTTTTTATAAAGAATGTGGAAAAATCAATATGGAAAGGGCGATTTCACATGTTCAATCTGCTTATTACTATATTTGCAATATGTAAATAGTAGTGAACTTTTCAGTACAATAAGATATACAAGTCTAGAATATAATTATTAAAGAGGAGTTAAATTGTATCCACAAGTTATCAATATCAGTTAAAAACAAATCATTAACTTTTTTGCAGTTAACAACAAAAATTTATCCATTTTCTTTGGCTAACAGTTCAAGTAAATAGATTTGCCATCATGGAGCTCATCACTTTATAATTTAAAAAAAGAAAAATGTAATGTCTGTTTGTTATAATGTCCTATACAGTTTTTGTTTTAAGTTTAGTAAATTGATTAATTTCCAGTTCTGAAAATTTCTCCTGAAAGAGATGAATAAAGGATGGTAGGGTGGGGGTGGTGGCTCATGCTATAATCCCAGCACTTTGGGAGGCGGAGGTGAGCAGATCACTTGAGGTCAGGAGTTCGAGACCAGCCTGGCCAACATGGTGAAACCCCATCTCCACTAAAAATACAAAAATTAGCCAGGTATGGTGGTGCATGCCTGTAATCCCAGCTACTCGGGAGGCTGAGGCAGGAGAATCACTTGAATCCAGGAGGCGGAGGTTGCAGTGAGCTGAGATGGTGCCACTGCACTCCAGCCTGGGTGACAGAGTGAGACTCAGTTTCAGAAAAGAAAAGAAAAGAAAAAAGAAAAGAGAAGGTATTTAATAGAGCCTTTCTCTTTTTTTTCAGATATGCATATTACTACTCAGGATTGGGTGCTGGAGTTCTTGTTGCTGCCTATATACAAGTTTCATTTTGGACTTTGGCAGCTGGTCGACAGATCAGGAAAATTAGGCAGAAGTTTTTTCATGCTATTCTACGACAGGAAATAGGATGGTTTGACATCAACGACACCACTGAACTCAATACGCGGCTAACAGAGTAGGTACATTGTTAATGTCACACTTTCATATAGAAATTAATTACTGTGTGAAAATATGTCAAGGAAAGATTTTAAATGAAAAATGTTACTAGATTGAGCATCTGATCTATATTAGAAATCGATCATCTGGCAGCCATGTCTAGCAGCATCTATAGCCTATGCCATTGCATGTTGGCTTTCCCCCAAGGTGCATAGTAGGTTTATTTGAGGACTGAATTCACATCTTATACCTGTTTATTTCTCATGGAACTTTCTACTGCAGGACGTGACAGGTGCTAGACTGTCAGTAAAGATGGTTGAATCAATGAATAGATGATTGAATTAATTTACAAAGAGACTTGCTTTAGTAATTGTCAACTCTTCACTTATTCAACAAATATTTGAGGGTGTTTCATGTGCGAAGTACCATTCTGTGTGTTCGTAATATATCAGTGAACAAAGCACAGATCTCTGTCCTTTTGGTGCTTACATTCCAGTAGAGGGAGATAGATGATAAACTTTCCTGACTGGGAGTCCTGGCAAAGGCATCCTGAGCAAATAAGTCAAAAAAAAAAAAAAAAAAAAGGGAAAAGCAAGACATTTAGGGCCTTGTAAACCTCCACAAAGACTTCAAGACTTCAGCTTTCACCCAGTGAAATGGCAGCCGCTGGAAGTTTCTGAGCTGAGGAGTAGCATGGTCAGACTTGCATTTTCAAAGCATCCCACTGGCTGCTGTGTTGAGAATAGACTTGGTTGGGAATAGGGACAAGAGTAGAAGCAAAGATCTCTTCCCTATTACTTCCCTATAAGAAGAAATGCAGTAATACTTCCCTACTACTGTTGCTTATTATTGTTGCAATGTTCTTCTTAATTCTTGCTTTTAAACAGATACATTTTTATGCTCAAAATGTTAATGCTTCTCTCATAGGATTGACTCATTTAATAGTATCAACTTAATGATACTAACTTATTAGAAGCATTGATCAATCCTGAATTTCTTCCTTTGTGCGGTGTTTAGGTGGGGAAGATGTTATTCAAGAGGCTAAGACTCTGAAAGAGGCTTGCAGTCAGTGAACAAATTTTACTTGTCTATGTGTTTGTTGGATGTCTACTTCATCTTTCTAACTGAAACCTCCTGCCTGTAACCACTTAGGTGTGATCTTTTTTAGTGACATCTCCAAAATCAGTGAAGGAATTGGTGACAAGGTTGGAATGTTCTTTCAAGCAGTAGCCACGTTTTTTGCAGGATTCATAGTGGGATTCATCAGAGGATGGAAGCTCACCCTTGTGATAATGGCCATCAGCCCTATTCTAGGACTCTCTGCAGCCGTTTGGGCAAAGGTATGTGAAAGCTGGGCCTTTTTATGTGTGTTAACCCCTGCACACAGTAATCTTTAATATGCAGAAGTCTCGTACTTGTACCTGTTCAGGTCTACATTAAATGTCAGTTGAAACTACATCCAGTAACATGGTGTTAATATGATGCTTTCATAAGGAAATTAATTTTTAACATAATTCAAAATGTCACAGGCTGGGTGTGGTGACTCATTCCTGTATCCCAGCACTTTGGGAGGCCAAGGTACATAAATCACTTGAGGTCAGGAGTTCCAGACCAGCCTGGACAACATGGCAAAACTCTGTCTCTACTAAAAATATGAAAAACTAGCCTTGCGTGGTGGTGCATGACTGTAATCCCAGCTACTTGGGAGGCTGAGACAGGAGAATCGCTGAACTCAGGAGGTGGAGGTCGCAGTGAGCCCAGATCATGCCACTTCACTCCAGCTTGGGTGACAGAGTAAGACTTCATCTCAAAAAAAAAAAAAATTCACAGTTCTTACTTCGATTACCCTTAGTTAAGGAAGTGCAACTTTAAAATATAACATTTCCCTCAAATTATTGCATGAACATAAAAATTTTAAATAGAGTTTGTATTTGTTCTATTTGTTTTAATCATTACCTGTGATGGTTAAGTGGCACTCTGCCAGTTTTGCCTGGCAATAAAATACACAAAATGTATTCTACTTTAGCCAACACTTCAGAGTTGAGAAATTTTACTGGCAATTTTTGCTCATCCTGACGTTGATGATTTACACAGTGAACTACCTGTATCTCTTTTGTTTTGATTCTTCCTTTGCTTTTCTCCTGAAACATCTTGTTTGGCTATCTTATTATTCAGCAGAATGCCCATGAGGAGGTCTGGAAGTATTGTTTTTATAGTAATTAAAAATTGTGACACAAGTCCAAAGTGGGTGGATCACGAGGTCAGGAGATTGAGACCATCCTGGCTAACACAGTGAAACCCTGTCTCTACTAAAAATACAAATAATTAGCCAGGCGTGGTGGTGTGCACTTGTAGTCCCAGCTACTCGGGAGGCTGAGGCAGAAGAATCACTTGAAACTGGGAGGCAGAGGTTACAGTGAGCCGAGATCGTGCCACTGCACTCCAGTCTGGGCAACAGAGTGAGACCCCGTCTCAAAAAAAAAAAAAAAAAAAATTGTGACACAATAAAGTTAAGAATGGTAAATTCTTTCAAAGCAGTAAAGTTTTATTTTATTTTACCTTACAACTAACAAAGAAAAACAGTAGATGTGGAACTTGACAGTGTTCCCAAGAGTGCTATTTAGAGAATTATGTGTGGATTTTCTTTTTTCCTGAGTACTCTTGGGGAGCCTATCACCAGGGTGGGTCAGATATAGCCTTTGAGGGATGTGGACGCAGCCATTGGATCCAGAACACTGGCATTTGCTACATGACTTTAATATTTGTTAAAGGAGAGGGTTTGGGAAGAAAAAGTAGGTTAAAGGGTTGACCAGAGTGCCTTTAAACTTTTCTCCCTATACAAAAGTGATCACTGTTTCTTTTCTGTCCAGATACTCTCGGCATTTAGTGACAAAGAACTAGCTGCTTATGCAAAAGCAGGCGCCGTGGCAGAAGAGGCTCTGGGGGCCATCAGGACTGTGATAGCTTTCGGGGGCCAGAACAAAGAGCTGGAAAGGTCAGGAAGGTTCTTTAGCCACTGGTTTAAGGAATGTGTTTTTACATTTTGTTGCTTCTTCTTTGTGGTATGTGTTTTTTACCTTCCCTTTCCTAATATTAACCCTTCTCGCATAAATTATAAGCACCCTTTACTGATGGCTATAGTTGAATGTCAGACTCTAAAGCAAGATTCTTAATCATTTATGTTCCATGGACTCTTTTGGCTATGTGATAATACAAATGGACTCCCTTGTTTTTAAATGCATAAACCAAAATATGCTAGCCCTTTGGGAAGCCAAGGCAGGAGGGTAGCTGGAATCCAGGAGCTCAAGACCAGCCTGGGCAATGTAGTAAGACCCTGGCTCTACAATTTTTTTTTTTTTTAATAAGCTGAGTGTGGTGGTGTGCACCTGTGGTCCCAGCTACTCAGGAGGCTGAGGCAGGAGAATCCCTTGAGCCCAGAATGTCAAGGGTGCAGTGAGCTGAACTCCAGCCTGGATGATAGAGTGAGCCTCTATCACAAAAAAAGAGTAAAAATTTTTTAAAAACCAAAAAATAAATAAATAAAAGCCCCAAAAAACAAAATAAGTAGGGTTACAAAGGAAAATAATTATATTAAAAATACTTATCAAAATATTTTTTATTTTATTTTACTCCTTAATGACTATGAACTGGAATATAGAAGAGAAAAACCTGAGAAAACATCGACTTCCTAGTTATAGCCCAGAATTCTTTGTAGGGCCTTGTGGGTCCTCCATAACAATGAGGCAGGGCTTCCCACCCAGGCCTCTGGCATTCAACTTTAATGATCCAGGATAAGCCTGGAAAATTGACCAGTATCTGGAGGCATGTTGCAAACTCTTCTCTGAAAAAATTATCAAGGCATGATTGACATATGAAAAGCTGTGTATACATCTTTAGTGTGTATATCTCAATGAGTTTGGGGATAAGAATACACCTATGAAAAAGGCTATTCTGCTCTACTTAAATGAAAATAATTACTTAGGGTTTTATTTAAATAACAATATCCCCTACTGTAGTTGAAGTATGATTCCATATAAAGTATTTTCTTTGGCTATTCTATGGGACTCTTGATACTCACAACTCTTGGATATAAAAATTCTCTGGAAATTCTCTAGCATTAAAAACAAAGTTTCCCTTATTCCCCCCATTTAATTTTCTACTTTTCTATTCCTTAATCCCTCTTCAAAGCCAACATGTTTCTGATCCTCTAACCTCTTCCTTTTTTCTCTCTCACTGCTGCTTCCTGTACATAATAGTCCACACAGACCACACTAACCCTCAGTTGGACCTCAGGATGTCAGTGTAATCTGTGCCGCTCCATTAGCCCCGGTAAGCGAGCCACCTAAGCAAAGGTAATTACAGTGTGTCCGCTGCTGTCACTGGAGCTGTGTGTCACACTGGGCAGATGCAAGTCTTCCTGCCACGCCTTGAGGCTCAGCCACACAGGAGAAATCACAGCGCTAGCTGTGGCCTGCTGGCTACCCCCAGAGATGCAGCTGTGCTCTATGAATGCAGCCCCCAACCAGAGGAAAGCACCCTGAAGACCTGGGTGCTTTACGCAATAAAAAAGACAAACCTTCTGATGGCAGAATATGTTTTTTAAAAGACTAATGAATTCTCATGTTTTATTTGGTTCAACACTAAAACTGGTGTTGCTGTGTTTTGTTTTTTGTTTTTTTTTGTCACAAAGAAAAATATCCTAGTTTGTGTGATATTTTCCCCTCGAAGTGTCATTGCATACCCATTGGATTTTTCTTTAAATTTCAGGGAGCCCAAATTAAATTTTACATACCCTCTGGGTCTAGTATGAAAAAGTAGATTTGATTTAACTTGATGAAAAAAAATTGTAATTTAACAGAATCATTCTAGATATTTTAAACTTTATATCAAATGCCAGCAGCCAGTAATAATGCATTTGAATTATGATTCAAAGATATGATAGTAATAGAATGAGCAAAACTCAGGAAGAGATAAAAGTTGAACACAATGATACTAATATAATAGTAAGAGAAATGATCAGGCTTGCTAACTATGAACCAGCTACTGTACTACTTTCTACAATTATCTACCAACCTCACAATTATCTTGCAAATTAGGCATTATTAAATCCATTTTTCATATATGAAACTAAAGTCTGGAAAAATTGAATAAGAACTCATATTCCATAAGTAGTGACTACCTTATAACCTGTATCTAGCTTGACAGATGAAGGTCAGCCTGATTTTTAAAAAAGTCAAAGAGAGAAGCCTATGTTTATGTACAACAACATGTAAAATTTTCATCCCTCACCCAGTGGACAATAGAGGGACGATTTTCTTTTCTCCAGAGAAGAGACATTGACCAGAGTTAAGAATCTAACTGTTTATGAGTTCCAGTGACATTTACAATCAATTCTGGTTTGGCTTGGTTTCTCTCATTCCCTCTTAACCCTGACTTGTGATATTGCCGTGAAGGTGATGGAGAAGCTCTTCCATATCCCAGGGTGAGCCCTCAATTCTGGAATAACCACAGGAATGTTGGTTGGCTTGGAATGGATGAAGGGAAATGGAACCGGGCCAGTAAAGAGAAGGCTTGGATCTGTTCTAGGCCTGGCTGATCCTGAATTAGTTCAATTCCCAAAGATCTGGGTCTCACCATGGGTTCATTACCTTGACTGACTTTGTTACTTAAACCTCCAACTATATAGGAGCCGAGTGTGACTCGGACTATGGATTGTTATTCTTAATTATAATGTTTTCCCTCTCATTTTTCTGGTAGGTATCAGAAACATTTAGAAAATGCCAAAGAGATTGGAATTAAAAAAGCTATTTCAGCAAACATTTCCATGGGTATTGCCTTCCTGTTAATATATGCATCATATGCACTGGCCTTCTGGTATGGATCCACTCTAGTCATATCAAAAGAATATACTATTGGAAATGCAATGACAGTAAGTAGTTCTCCTAACATTTATGAAGAATATGAAAATCTTATTTCTCCATCTACCTTCTCTTTTCTTTGATATCGCTCCTTTTTGAAAGATGAACATGATTATAGGTTTTTGTTTTTGGTGAATCTTTCCACTGTCCAGTGGGCAGAGCTGACTTTCTAGTATATACAAGTCATAATTATGAGTGTGGATAAGAAAATAGCATGTGGTTAGACCATTTGTGAAACATATACAATGTATAAAAGGAAATAAAAATGGGATGAATTTAGGAATAAACAAATATGGATGGGAGCCATCCTCCCTCTGCCGTTGAGTTTTATTGTATAAGAAAGTAAGCATCATTATTACAGAATAGGTCATTGCACAAGAAAATGTTACATTTATATCACTTAAAACAATCAGCTCTCTGAAATACAAGAAGAGATGTTATGTTAGTTTGTTTTTATTTATCAAAATGAAGATAGCTTCATTTTATGATTGTTAAAATAATATATACTAATTTTACAAAGGATTAGGATACAGAATTTTTAAAATTAAAATTACTTACAATCTAATAATTTATATTCTCTTGATGATAATTTTTGGCATATATCTTCCAGGTCATTTTCTATATATATACACATTGTTTTCTTTCAAAACTGGGATCATACTATGTATATCTTTTTGTAACCACATTTATGAACTACCAATATTTTGTGACCATCTTTTCATGTCAGAGACTCAGAACAATATGTAACTATTTAAATAGAAATCTTTTAACATCTGTACTTCCCTATCTTGCTAAAATGAGGATACTGAGCATAATTTGGCCCTTTGATGATGACTTGGGGTCATTATGAAAGTGAATATTTTCAGAATGCTTTATGCAGTGGTATCTTCAGACTTCATTGAGAGGTTGTGGGTGTTCGACTTGGTGAGCCCTCATTAATGCTGAGTCTAATTTTTCTCACTTCCATCTTCTCTCTGGCAGTCGGTTTGGAAGCTTGCTACCCTTTCTTCACTTCCTCATTTACTATTGATGTTTTATGAAGAAGGGAGGTTGAATCCTGACAACCGTTCACCTTTGGTGATGAGTTTGTCCTCTATGGCCTTAATTTCCTCATTTGTAGTATGTGGATAATGACACCTATCCGGTAGGGCTGAGATTGCTATCCCCAGAGGGAGCCCAAGCAAAGCCCTCTGCATAGAGGGCAGGGACTCTATTGCATTAACCTTATGGCAACTATTTTGGTCAACATTATTTTTCTTTCTTACTGGTCCTTATCTGTATTGCAGATGGGGGATAGATATTTAACTGATATTTGAGTTATGGGTAACATGAAGTGTTGCTGTGTTTTGAGAAAAGCCAAATTATATGTAGAAGTTTTACCATGCCCTGAGAGAAAAAAATAATTTATCTTCACTTATGTTTTTCTCAGTTAAGTTATGCTAATAATCTGGATTCCTGAAGCTGTATTCTGAGCTTCTTTATATCAATTCATTTTCCTAGTGAAAAAATACTGTGAAGGGAAATGTGTTAAGTGTTGTATGCTACAGTACAGAATAACTGTGTAAAGGAATTGCTAACCAGTGCACACTGGAGTGATTTTATGTTTTATGATGTGCAAACTGTTACTTTTTATGTTAAAAATCTTTAAAAATATATGTGACATGGTGCTTTTTAGGAGCATTACATAGGGCCAAAATCTGCCATGTTTTATATTGAACCGTCTATGTAATTCCATGCATAGTTAGAGAAAATCATATAGGATGGAATAATAATACTGACTGAAAATGTTTCTTTCTGGTGGCATTTGTGAGTGAGTCAATGAAATAGGTTTGAAAAATCTTTTTAACTCTGTATGTATTCAGGAGAACAATAGGTAGTTTGAGAAAATAGACCCACTCAGGCAATAAAATGCTATATTAGCCTTGCAAATGTTGCTCTTCCACAAAAAAAAAAGGAAAGGATAAACCTAAACTTAATCCTTTATGTACTATGTTACATATACATCACATTTTAGATAATAATGAATGCCAGAATGTGACTTAAACTTTTCCTCATGTTATTTTGCTCAGGTTTTTTTTTCAATCCTAATTGGAGCTTTCAGTGTTGGCCAGGCTGCCCCATGTATTGATGCTTTTGCCAATGCAAGAGGAGCAGCATATGTGATCTTTGATATTATTGATAATGTAAGTCATTTATTATTTTAGTGCCAAAAGAAGTCTTTGAGCTTGTATAATTAAATCTGGCTTTAGTTTGCATATTTTTGAATCAACTACATTGAATAAGTTGTACTGACTAAAGTGACATTTAATTATATGAAATGAATGACCTGTTAGTAATAAATGAAAGAAAATACCTCTTATTAATATTTTTTAAATGTATCTTTAGATAATATAATAATACTGATCTCATTTTGGAAAAGGACATCTGCACTAGTGCAGAGCAAAGACGTTTCTCTTCCTAGTTTTTATCTTTTTCACTTTCATGTTGTAGCCAGACTGAGAATCTTATGATTTCTATATGGGATGGGGGGTAGATAAATTATCGGTGGGACCAAAATTGACAGTATATTTTGCTGTGGGTTCCCCCTCTCCAAAAAATTATCACTGCATGTTTGGTATGATTTTAAATAAACTACATTAAATAAACTGACTACAGTGAAAAAGAAAAAGTTTTGACGTAAAAAAGTAAGTCACTGCATTCAAATATTGCAAGGTAGCTAAGTGAAATTTGATCATTTAATCTAAGCAATTTCCTTTTTCATTGATCCAAGTCGTGAGAAAAGTGCTCAGTTTCTGATTGTATTAAAAGTTTACATTATTTCTAAATAACTGCTATAATCAACCATTCAATCTTCTCAATTCAATCTATTACATTTATTATTTAGGAATGAGCTAATTTTCACTAAATGCTGAAATACTTGGCTATAATATATATCAATTATAGCATATTTTTGTTATTGCACTTGTATAAATATGCATATCTGACCATTTAGAAAATTTATGAGGATATGCCAAAAACTTAAAGGGAAATATTATATGAAATGAGATGAATATCTCTTACGTACTTTTCAGGAAAACACTATTTTCTGAAAAGGAGTATTTCTTTAAACAGCACACATACATATACACACAATCTTCATCTTGGGTTTTTCTTATGTAAAGGGGATTGTGACATTCCAGGTCCTATTTTTGGAATTTGCTGAATCATATTCCTTAAAAATGCAACTTGTTTGTGCTATGATGGAATAGTCATTACATTTTGTTTTATTTAGAATCCTAAAATTGACAGTTTTTCAGAGAGAGGACACAAACCAGACAGCATCAAAGGGAATTTGGAGTTCAATGATGTTCACTTTTCTTACCCTTCTCGAGCTAACGTCAAGGTACTGTAAGTAATATTTATAGGAATTCCTAACTGAGGTTGATTGTTGAATCATTTTAAAGAATAAAGTCTCTATTATTTTGATACTTATGTGCCTTTTCCTTTGGGGGTTATATTCCCTTATTTGATACTTTTTTTTCAAATTTCAAACTGAATCGAATTATTCCCATTTTAGGGCTTTGTTGTGAAGTGTGTTCTTTTTTCTCATTTTCCTTACAGATCTTGAAGGGCCTCAACCTGAAGGTGCAGAGTGGGCAGACGGTGGCCCTGGTTGGAAGTAGTGGCTGTGGGAAGAGCACAACGGTCCAGCTGATACAGAGGCTCTATGACCCTGATGAGGGCACAGTAAGTGGGAAGAACCAAGCTTTCCAGAGTGGGAAGCTGGATACAAATTGGCCCTTTGAAATTGGTTTTTCAGTAACAAATTTGCGTGTGAATCCAGTTTTGGTAAAAAGCCTACAAAATGGCAATGCCGATGGATAATGCCTTCACACCCTTGGGCTGGTTTCACAAATGCATTAAATAAAAGTCATAAAAGCTGTGGAAGCTGGACAAAGCTCTCCTCTGTTCTGACTAAGCTTTCATAACACATTAAATTACTGCAAAGCAGTCTACAAACCACTGAGAGGATTACTTTCAATGAGTTAGAGTTTGGTCAAACATACTCCATATAGCAATTGTTGGGAACAATTGATGACAATTAGGGTCACCAGATATTTTAGGACAGCAATTAAATTCATCCAAGACAGTTGAGTTTTCTTAAACTTAGGAATATCTAAGGGGGAAAGTGGGATGGTCTCTTAAGAAACTAGTCTCTTGAGAAAATTCTAGAAACACAGAGACAGTAATAGCCTAGGGTATGTTTTTTTGCCATTTAAAAGTTTTGCTATAAATTTGAATTTACAGAAAATTGTAACTAGAGAACTCACAGATCCTTCACCCAGATTTAGATTGTTTATATTTTGACCCACTTGCTTTATCATCTTCTCTTTCTCCGTGTGTGTGTGTATGTGTGTGTTTATGTGTGTGTGTGTGTATTATGTATACCCTTATACTTCAGAATACATTCCTAAAAAGGACATTCTCTTAGATTACCACAAAACAATGATTAAAAATCAGTAAATTTAACATTAATGCAATATACAAGTCCACGAGCTATATTCAGAATTTCCTCAGTTGTCCCAATTTTAGAGCATTGAGTTTATCTGATATTAAAATGGATTATAATTCAATAATTGTGAAAACAGAAGATTATAAGGTAAAAAGTAAAAATAATGGCATGCCAAAACCAAAAATCATAAAAAGGCATTGGGACAGAACAGAGATCTCCAGAATTAATACATAATTTTCTACAATACATGGAACTATTTATTTAATTTAATAAAATTAATATTATTGGAAAAATCTGATATTACTATGGGGGAACATAGGCCCATTCTCATTTACTAAAGTAAACTCTGGGTTGGTTCAAGTGTAAATATTTTCTTTATTTTTTAAAAAGAACCTGGTAAAATACCAACCATTGAGAATTAAATTATTATTGAAACAACTGACATTTTTAAAGAAAGCATATGTTAACAGAAAAAAAAGATCTTCAGAAATTCTATAACTCAGAGATATTCACTGTTAACATCATGATTTAACAATTTTCTTACCACTGAAATAATAGAAAAAAATGCCCAGTGGCATAATTGATTAATTCAGTTGTTCCTTAAGCCTCTTTCCAATAAAAACCAATAAAACTATGATGAAAGAAAGCAATAAAGGCCTGACATGGTGGCTAATGCTTGTGATCTCAGCACTTTGGGAGATTGAGGTGGGAGGTTCACTTGAGGCCAGGAGTTTGAGATCATCCTGGGCAACTAATGAGAATCTGTCTCTACAAAATATTTTTTAAAATAGCCAGGCCTGGTGGTGTGCACCCATAGTCCTAGCTACTTGGGAGGCTGAGGCAGGAGGATCACTTGAGCCCAGGAGTTCAAGGCTGCAGTGAGCTATTGTTGCACCAATGGTTGCACCACTATGCTCCTCCAAAGCCTGAGTGACAGAATGAAACTCTGTCTCTAAATTTAAAAAAAAAAAAGGACAAAAATAATGAATTGGAACAAAAGATTTATTATATATGGAAAAAGTATTATATTTATTATTAGAGAAGTTAATATGAATATATGAAGGTAACCCTGCTCATTATGAACATGCGACTCTCTGGAATATATAAAGATTTGTAAAAAGTTTCAAGAAATGGTCAACTTTATAAATGTATACAAATGAAAACAGATATAAGCTATCACCTCATACCTATTAATTGGAAGAAAACAGATTAAAATGATAAAACCCAGTGCTAGTAAATTACAATGAAACAGATATATTTATATATTCCTGTTGACAATGTAAGTTATTAAAATGTTTTAAGATAATTATTTAGCCTTTTATTAACAAGCAACAAATGCCCAGCAAATCCAGTCATTGTACATGTAAGCAATTGTTGTCAAGGGAGAAAAAATAAATCATAATCTTCAACTTAGTAATTCTCTACTCTTGCAATAAATATTGAAGTAAGTCAAATATTTAAGAAGAAAGGAAGTAAATTAAAGCATGTAAAAAATAGCAAAACATGGGCCAGGCGCAGTGGCTCATGCCTGTAATCCTGTAATCCCAGCACTTTGGGAGGCCAAGGCGGGCGGTCACGAGGTCAGGAGATCAAGATCATCCTGGCTAACATGGTGAAACACCGTCTCTACTAAAAATACAGAAAATTAGCCGGGCATGGTGGTGGGTGCCTGTAGTCCCAGCTACTCTCGAGGCTGAGGCAGGAGAACAGTGTGAACCCGGGAGGTGGAGCTTGCAGTGAGTGGAGATGGGCCACTGCACTCCAGCCTGGGCGACAGAGCGAGACTCCATTTCAAAAAAAAAGCAGAACACCATAAGCTATCAAAATTATATGTAGACCAGGAAGGTAAGTGTGCATTTTTATTTAAATTTAATATTGGAACATAAAAATAATGGTATGCCAAAAACATAAAACCCAAAATTGTTTATGGCAAATAATCCTTCCACGAAAAAACTGTATATATGAAAATAAATATCAGGAGAGAGCATAAGCTTTTTATTTTTGTTCTTGCATATTGCTGTTTATTTCTAATTATTATTTCTAAACACTGAACCAAGTTAAATATTAGGTAGGATGTTTTTCATGAATGGTCCTGATACTTCAGCTATTAAATGGTTAAATACTTAATAGGAAATATTTCTTTCTTTCAGATTAACATTGATGGGCAGGATATTAGGAACTTTAATGTAAACTATCTGAGGGAAATCATTGGTGTGGTGAGTCAGGAGCCGGTGCTGTTTTCCACCACAATTGCTGAAAATATTTGTTATGGCCGTGGAAATGTAACCATGGATGAGATAAAGAAAGCTGTCAAAGAGGCCAACGCCTATGAGTTTATCATGAAATTACCACAGGTAAAGCCTCTGATAAAGTAGTTGTCCTTGAAATTAGAATTTCACCTCATAGGACTGAGTTTATTCTTCAAAGGTTTAGCTAATAATGTTTGAGATGCAAGATTGTCCAACTTTGCTAGATAAGTCCCCTGAATGACTCAGTTAGGGGTTAAAGGATTATAGCATGGTAGATGATTAATATAAAATTTTATACAGCATGTGTCAGTTTTTTATAATTCAGAATTCATTTATCTTATCATACTTTATGATACATTAAAATAGTTAAGACAAAGCTCCATGTTGTCTTTATGTAGTTCTATAGAATTCCTAGCCTTTTTAAATTTAAGTTACTTCAAGAGCTGATCCATGTTTTCTGTGTTAGAAATTTGACACCCTGGTTGGAGAGAGAGGGGCCCAGCTGAGTGGTGGGCAGAAGCAGAGGATCGCCATTGCACGTGCCCTGGTTCGCAACCCCAAGATCCTTCTGCTGGATGAGGCCACGTCAGCATTGGACACAGAAAGTGAAGCTGAGGTACAGGCAGCTCTGGATAAGGTCAGTAGACTCTAAAAAGCTGAAGGACCACCACATTGAAACCTATTGAAGATTCTTGCCAGTGCTTCCGGAGTCTGGGCTGAGAAACAGAAACATAGCAAATGGAGCTACCTCATGGAGCTGTATTGATTTCTCCTTTCTGTCAGGTTACATTGTCTTCAGAGACAGGTGAAGGGTACTGACTTGTTTTGACCATGGTGCAGTGAGCCCAGATCCAGGTCTTTATAACAAGCCATTTAGCTTTGTTTATTTCTTGCACATGGGCTATTGCAAGACTACTTTTGACCAAAAGTAGTCATGTTAAAATATATATATTTTTAAATCCGGTTACCCAGACACTGGTCCAGCTGAAAACTAATTCAGAATACTCACCCTATTTTGTAGGCAGTGACATCATCTTTATCTATTCATGTAGGTGACCAGGTGCTTTTCTGGAAATAAAGTTCAACTCTGTACTTGTCTAAGCATATAAATAAACAATTCATTTTAAGGGTGCTGAGTTCATCTGTCCAGCTCAGATATTTCTAAGTCTCTCATTAGCATTTTTACTAAGCTGAAGTGTCACAGGAAAGACCTTATCTTGGTACACTTTTGGGGGTAATGCTGATGTCATCTGTATTAACAACACAATGTAAATACCAGAGTCAGATGACACCATAGAAATTAGTTTCAAACACATAAATATCATAAATATATTTGATTTAAGACAGTTCAGTAATAATATGTGCAAGTTCCTTAAGGAATTCTATCTGAACCACCTCTTACAATTTAAGAGACAAGCTGCACGAACCTTATTTTCTCAGGAAAATTTATATCTGAATCCTAAGTTAACCTAATTCCCTTTTATGCTGTAAACTGTAGTTAATTAATGCCTCATGGTTTATCAGCTTAATATCTTGACTCTTTTTGTTGTTTTTTAAGACAGGGTCTTGCTCTGTCACCCAGCGTGGAGTGCAGTCGTGTGATTATGGCTCCCTGCAGCCTCCACCTCCTGGGCTCAAGCCATCCTTCCACCTCAGCCTCCTGAGTAGCTGGGACTGCAGGTGTGCGCCACCACACCTAGCTAATTTTTGTATTTTTGGTAGAGATGGGTTTTTGCCATGTTGCCCAGGCTGGTCTCAAACTCCTGAGTTCAAGTGATCATCCTGCCTCAACCTCCCAAAGTGCTAGGATTTATAGATGTGAGCCACTGCACCTAACCAATATCTTGACTTATTTTATATAATTTAATAATGATTAATAACACAATAATAATTATTCCTTACAAATTCTTGCACTGAATTATACTGCTTTTGTGTATATTAAATCATGATATTAAGGAGTCAAAATATAATGCATATGAGACTGGTATATGGTTGGTTATTCTGAAGTTACTTAAAGCAGTACATCATAAAGTAATACATGCATAAGTTATTCTAACTTAAAAATATAATTAGACATTCATGTATTGGCATAGACTTTTTAGAGTAAAGTCGGGTAGAATGAGAGATATATTTACCAAAAAATCAAAAACAAAAAAGAGTCCTATTCAGCCCTGGAGTCTAGGTTCCAATCATTTCCAGGATACAGATATTCAATATACAATATAGTTCTTGCTGTGCTAAAAGAATAGAATTATTGGAGATGACCAGTATGTATTGTTTTTCATAATATGACCTCTGCCAGAAAAACTGTGATCTTGCAAGTTTTAGTACGTATTTGGACAAGTCAATTCATTCAATTTTAGCTGTTTCTTCGTGTTCTATAGGATCATAGCACACTCCTCAGTTGATAACCTTTTTTATATTTACTTTAAAAATAGCTGATGAACTACTCATAATTTTTTAAAGTCTCCAGGAAAAGCCATTAGCAGCTTAGGGTGATGGTTAAGAGCACAGGCTTTGATGCTAGGCTGGGATTGGAGTCCTGGCTCTGTTCTTTTCTAGCTGTGTCCTTGGGCACGTTAACTAACCTCTCTAAGCCTGAGACATCTCTGAAGTAATAGGGGAAGAGGGGACAGAAATAGTATCATAGGATTATTTAAAGAATAACCAAGATACTGCATGTAAAGTTATTAGCACATGCCTAGCACATATGAAACACTTGATATTGTTGGCTGCTGCTATTATTATGGTGATTAGCATTACCAGGATTATTATTATTATTATTTTTTGGTTGCTAAATTGGTTACCTATTGCTATGTAAGAAACTATCTTGAGTCCACGCTTAAAACAATTCAGTGTATTGGCTGAGTAGATCCTCTGTTCTTTCCACCTGAGCACATGGCTGCATTTACCTGGAGGGCTGGCTTCATTAAAATGGTCCATGGTGGCCTCACTCACACGCTGGCTGTTGGCTGGCCATCTCAATTCTCCATGTGACTTCTCACACTCATACAATAGGCTAACCTGGCTTCCTTATATGAAAGTTTCAGGGCAGTGTACCCAGAGAGCAAAGACTAATGTGTGAAGTGTCCAGAGGATTAGACTCCAGAACTCATCTTGTTGGTCACAGCAAGTCATAGGCTAGCCCAGATTTGAGGAGATAACAGACTGTGCCTCTTAATGGGTGAGCAGTAAAAAATCTGTGACCATATTGAATCTTCTAAAGCATGCCCTCTGTCACAATTATTTACATTTCTTCCACATGCAAAAGAAGGTCACCTCTTCCTCAGACCCTCAAAATGTTCATACAGTGATAGCATCTGGCTCAAAGACCAGTATCTGAAGATCTGCATGTGGTCTAATACAGATGAGGGTCTTCATTTTCAGCTCATCTTGACCCACAGACCTATGAAAAAGACAAGTTATCATCAACACATACTCTCAACATAGAGTGGCGGTGCAGGGACAGGATAATCATAGCAGATACTCATTCAAAAAGGATGAGAACAGAAAGCTCATAGCAGTCCTTGGCCATAGCAATTCTGACATGCAGCCAATTACCCCACTACTCCAGGGAAATGGGATGTTTCTTGATTAAGGCCTGATTCTGCTCCCCAGGAGTGGGTTCCCTAGTCCATTGTTCTCTTTAGTTCCAGGGTCTTTTACCTTCCCTCTAAGAGGGCTTTCCTTTTTCATAAGAAATGATCTGTATCTGCAGCTGAGTGGATTTCTTTGCATGTTTCTGCCCATAGAAATTTGGGGCCCTTTTCATTTTGTATTTTTTTCAGTCTCTTTTAGACTAAGCTGAAGGACTGTCTTAAAGACTTTGTGAGTTTACTTAGAATCTAGCTGTCATTTACTCAAGCCCCAGAAGTTATGCCTATATATTTTATTTTGAGACAGGCTCCTCTCTTCTTTGGGCTGCAAGTGAACCTGCCATCAGAAAACTCTTAAATAGTTTTTAAGGCTTTTTTTTTTTTTGTAGCTGAAAGTGTCCACTAGGCTCTGCCTAAAATCTTTCAGAGATTTTTGCTAAAAATCTTACACCTACACACTCTGATTTTTGCCCTAATTTTATTGGATGACTAACAACTTCATTTTCCAACTGAGTACTGGGGTCTGCTTTATTGTCTTAAATTCTCCTTGTAACCAAGTAGCTCATTCTTTAGCTGATCATTCTCTTCCCAAACCTCATTGTACACAGCTAGGGGAATCCACTTGTCTCTCCTATAGTCTGTCTAGAGATGTCTGAAATCTCCTCAGCCAGATGTACAGGTTCATTAAGTAAAATGTCTTTCTTCCAAGTCACTGCAGGAAATATTTTTGTCAAATTTTCCAAGGTTACATAATGAAGGTACTCCTTTTCTATCCTCTAATAGCAATTTCTTTACTCTTGTTTCAGTCTCCACTAACAATATTATCACCTTCCTTTCAACCACCACCTACCACTCAATCCCAAAGCCAATGTCACATGTTTTAGGTTTTTGGTTACAGCAGCATACCAATCTAATTACTAATTTCTGTATCAGTTGTTTTAAGCCAAGAATTTAGTGACTTAAAATACAACTTTTATTGCCCACAAATTTGTGGGTTGGTAAAGTGGTTTTTCTGTTGGTTTTGCCTAGTCTTATTTCAGCTCAGGGTCACCTGGGCTGGAATATTCAAAGTGGCCTCACTCATGTGCCTGGCAGTTGGGGATGGCTGTTGCCTAAGGCAGGTTGCTTTTCCTCCCTGAAGCCAGTTATCCTTCAGGAGGCTAGAGAAACTTCCTTTCACTGCGGTTCCAGGGTAACATCCGAAGATGGCAAACAGACGAGCTGTGTGAGATCCCTTGAGGCCTGGGCTCCAGAAATTGTAGAAATCAATTTCTTTACATTTTCTTTGTCAAAACAAGTTACAGGGCCTGCCCAGATATGAGGAGGCAGAGAAATTGGCTCCACTTCTGTATAGGAGAAGCTGCAAAGTGTTTGTGGCCATATTAATCTGCCATAGTTGCTATGAAAACAGTTTATAATCTGCACTAATTGGCTCCACACTGCAAGGTAATTATGCTAATATTTTTACAGACAATAAACCATACCTTTAAAGATAAACCCTTTATTACTATGTCCCCAAAGAAGATACCAATCAATCAGTTAGCCAGTCACTCTAACTTACAATCCAACTCTCTTTTTAATGATGAAAAGTTGAATTTCATAAATTGTAGTCTTGCCTCTGAGGACCATAAGGATGTATCACTATTATATCTACTGTTATTTCTACTCAATTACCCATCCTGGAAGAATAATATTTTTATTTTGTGGATCCTTTATACATTGATCAGGCCTTCCTTGTGTGGCAACAGCTTACTGTAGTTACCTACTTATTTTTATGCCTTCTCTTTCCTAGGAAGAATAAACCACCCCAGGAGGCAGAATTAATAAAAAGATTCATATTTGAATCTCTTCAACAGCCCAGTGCCTTGCACATAGTAGAGGCTAAATAAATATTTACTAAATTGACTATGATGGCCCAGCTCATTGAGAAAATATGTCTACATTAAAATAATTTTTTTTTTGAGACGGAGTCTCGCTCTGTCTCCAGGCTGGAGTGCAGTGGTGTGATCTTGGCTCACTGCAACCTCCGCTTCCCGGGTTCAGGCAATTCTCCTGCCTCAGCCTCCTGAGTATCTGGGACTACAGTCACATGCAACCACGCCCAGCTAATTTCTGTATTTTTAGTAGAGATGGGGTTTCCCCATGTTGGCCAGGATGGTCTCAATGTCTTGATCTCGTGATTCGCCTGCCTCGGCCTCCCAAAGTTCTGGGATTACAGGTGTGAGCCACCGCGCCCGGCCCTAAAATAAATTTTAATAGTGATGACCATATTAGCTTTTGACTCTACAGATAGCAACTATTTGTCAAAATAAATAAAATGCTATTAAATATAAGATCTTGAAGAAAGATATAACAGCAGATTTTGTATTTTGACTCTTTTAAAGAAAGGCAATACAGTTTCATACCTACATGCACACTCCTGATCATGGTGTTATCATAGAAGAACAGGAAAAGAAACAAAATGGTGGCCAGGTGTGGTGGCTCACGCCTGTAATCCCACAACTTTGGGATGCTGAGGCTGGCGGATCACGAGGTCAGGAGATTGAGACCATCCTGGCCAACATGGTGAAACCCTGTCTCTATTAAAATCCAAAAAAAAAAAAAAAAAAAAATTAGCCAGGTGTGGTGGTGGGCACTTGTAGTCCCAGCTACTGGGGAAGCTGAGGCAGGGTAATCGCTTGATCCCAGGAGGTGGAGGTTGCATAAGCCAAGATCATGCCACTGCATTCCAGCCTGGCAACAGAGCAAGACTCCATCTCAAAAAAAAAAAAGAATGAAAACGGTGATTTTATGGTGATTTTTATAAAAAGATTCCAAAAGGTTTCATTCTGATGCTGTTTTACCAAAGTTCCAGAAAGGCTAGTAGATTAGTCCTCCCTTTGTTTAGGCCCACCTTTCATCCCTGAACATCCCAAATTAGTCAAAGGTCTAAATTTCATAATAGCTGGTGTCCCTAAATCTAGGATATTTATTTATCAATGTCCTGTCATCATCAGGGTGTCTGGGAGCTCTGAAAAAAAAAAAAAAAAAAACAACAACAATTTTTTGTGTCAAAGCTCTACTTTGGCCAACTTCTCTTGGTCAAAGGTGACAGTTGCTTACTTCTAAATTGATGAACACGTACTTTATTTCTTTTACATAGCAATCATTCACTCATACATCTGATTCCAATTCCTTTGTGTATATATGTTGACATATCATCAACCTATTATCATCATCATGATAATATAGTCATTGTTAGCAATTTATTCATCACTGTTAGCATCATGAATATAATTACAGTAATCAAATTATTTTGTATATGCCTTATTATATATGGACTAAACCCAGCTTCCATATAAGTAAATATTTGTGAGTGCTTCTTTGGGGCTTATATACTAAAAATCAAATAATAGTCTTAAATGTTGTCCAAGAGAGCTGTGTTCTAGCCTCTCTCTCTTTCCAGTGATGTTTCTCTTTTATATTTACTTAAAAACAATTGATTCATCTGGATTTATTTTAATGTAAGGACTAAAGTAGAAATACCACATTACTTTATTAAATGGCTGCACAATTGTCCCAATACCATTTATTGTATAATTCACCTTTTCTTTACCAATAGGTAGTACCATATTTATTGTAATTAAATTCTTAGATGGTTTATGTCTATTTCTGGACTCTCCATTTGGTTCTATTGATCAAATTACCCATTCACGTGCTGGTTTTTCCTAGGTTTTACTATTTTAATTGCTGTAGCTTTTTATATGCTAATATCTGTTAGAGATATTTCCTTCTCATTACTCCTCTCATTAACTTCTTTTTCAGAATTTTCATGGCTATTTTTAAAAAATTGAGATACAAACACATGCCATAAAATTCACCCTTTAAAAATATACAATTCCGGGGTTTTTAGAATATTCACAAGGTTGTACAACCATCACTGCTATCGAATTCCAGAACATTTTCACCACCTCATTAAGAAACCAGTCACTCTGCATTCCACCCTCACTCTAGCCCTTGGCAACCATGAATCTACCTTCTGTCTCTATGAATTTGCCTACTCTTAGATATCTCATATAAATAAAATCATACCATGTGTCATCTTTTGTGACTGGCTTCTTTCACTTAGCACAATGTTTTCAAAGTTCATCTATGTTGTGATGTGAATCAAAATGCATTCTATTTTATGGCCTAACAATATTCCATTATATGGATATACCACATTTTAAATCTGTTTGCCAATTGATGAATATTTGGATTGTTTCCACTTTTTGCCTATTATGAATCTAGCCTCTCATTTTTAATTTATATGTTAACCACTTAGGTGAATTAGACTATTCTCTAATAACCATCCTAATGATGTGGTTTGATTGTCTCAGAGTAGGAGTGATCTTAAGCTATTGGGTAAAAGGGCTAATGAGTGTCAGAAAGAGTAGCCATTATTAATGACATAATATCAATACTTTTATTGGCATTATCCAGGGTTTAAATGCCCATTTATAAATCCACCCAGCAAACATATGAGGCCACTAAACTAGTTAGACAGGTGATTTGTAGATTTTAGCATGCATAAAAATCACCTAGGGCACTTGTTAAAGAGCAGATTTACTTGCCTTACTCTAGAGATTATGCTTTGGATGGCTTTTGAACCATAATTTTAATAGTCCTGATCCCAAGGTACATTTTCACCTAAACTGCCTGCTTTCAGTTCATCAGAATTAGTTAAGATCAGGCTCTTAAAAAGAGATCCTACAGCAGTGCTCTGGAAAAGGCTGTCACTTGGCAACAACTTCCCTAAAATATTTCTGGTGATGTCTCTAGCATTCCATATAACTTAGAGCTAGGGCTTCTCAGACAAGTGTGAAAACACTGAAGAAGGATCAAACCCTTATTTTTCTTAAGTAAACACTGACACTACCATAGGTTTCTGGAGAAATCACCCATCCTCCTACTGAAGGGGTTAGCCACTTGTCTGGTCCCAAACTCGTCTGACTTTAATTTTTCATAAAGAGTGATGCCTTTGCCATAATCACGCAGAGATCTGGAGTATAAACTACTCTCTAATCATCTACAAACAGCATTCATCCAAGTGCTTAACTGTGCATGTTAATTGACAGTGTGCCAATACTGTAACCCTGATGCACCACATTTTTGTTCTTTTAGGCCAGAGAAGGCCGGACCACCATTGTGATAGCACACCGACTGTCTACGGTCCGAAATGCAGATGTCATCGCTGGGTTTGAGGATGGAGTAATTGTGGAGCAAGGAAGCCACAGCGAACTGATGAAGAAGGAAGGGGTGTACTTCAAACTTGTCAACATGCAGGTACTTGCTTTTCAGGAATTTTTTCTGCTATTTGCTCCTCAATATAGTGTTCTTTAAATATTAAAATATGATCCAGTGAATGCTATACTGAGCAAGAAGAAACTTCAACAAGATGCCTAAAAGTGTATATCTGAGACTTTAAATCAGAATCTGTAAAGAGGTAGCAGGTGAGAAAATAGGGGAAAGTGCCAAAAACATCATGGATATATTCCTTAGGACAGATTCCTAATTGCCTGGGGAATGTGGTCAAACTAAAAGGTCCTTTCTACCATAATGGGATGGTCAGAGTTTTGGGAGTCAGAGGACGAGAAAAGTGTTTCGACTTGTCCGAGGAGCCCCGGCTCTGAGTTATATGGAATGCCAGAGACTTTACCAGAAACATTTTAGGGAAGTCATTGACAAGTGACCGCCTTTTCCAGAGCACTGCTGTAGGGTTCCTTTTGACCAGCCAGGATCTCTAGTGGTTGAGGGAGGTCTCATGTGATCTAAAATTGTTTCCCAGATGATCCTAATAAGACCATCATCAAGATTTGTGGCTCTAGGAAGTGAATAGTTTGTCTTTTAAAAGGAAAAAGCAGGCCAGGTGCAGTGGCTCATGCCTGTAATCCCAGCACTTTGGGAGGCTGAGGTGGGCAGATCACCTGAGGTCAGGAGTTCGAGACGAGCCTGGCCAACATTGTGAAACCCCCATCTCTACTAAAAATACAAAAAATTAGCTGGGCATGGTGGTGCACGCCTGTAGTCCCAGCTACTTTGGAGGCTGAGGCAGGAGAATCGCTTGAATCCGGGAGGTGGAGATTGCAATGACCTGAGACTACACCACTGCACTCCAGCCTGAGTGACAGAGCGAGACTCTGTCTCAGAGAAAAAAGAAAGAAAAGAGCACTCATTCATTCTAGTTCCTAAAACAGGTTATATTGATAATGATTGGTTTTTCATATTATTAAGACATGTTATTATACTCAGTCACTTGAGCAACATTGCAGAATAAATAACCTAAGAATATTTTATTCTATGAACGATTCTATTTGTGAAAGTATATACATTTGCTTTGATACAACTGTAATTAGCATGTACACACATATTTTTGTTCTTTTTTCTTAACATTTCAGATATACGTCATCCACATACTATTATTTTAATGGGTGCTCAGAAGTTCATTTTATTAATGTGTGAAATTAGTCATTTTTCTAAAGTTAGATATTTGGTCTGTTTCCAGTATTTCTCTATTCTAAATATTGCCACTGTGAGCACAAGTAGATCAAAAAAGGTTGTCAAAATTTTGCCTTGCTTTCTGACAAGTAACTCTTCTGAGCCTTCGTTTCTACATTTGGAATACCAAACCTACCATGAGAGGTTGCTATAAGTTTAGAAAAATAAACATCTGAATACTTGTGTACTAAAAACAACCTACTGAAATGTTTAAAAGGGTGGATTTTGTGATATGTTAATTATATTTTTAAAAAGCTGTTTTTCTTTTTTTTTTTTTAAAAAAAAAAAGACCTGACACAAATTAGATGATGATAAATGGTGGTTACTAAAATTTGCAAATTCCCCCAAATGAAAATACCAAATGAAATGACGAAAAGTTTTATAACTCAGGCTTGCATGTGCCAGAGGGTGTTCTACAGTGGAGGGAATCAATGATAGTGTCTCTGCCGAATGCTACCATATGGCCTAGCCACCATAAAGGGTCTTTGTCATTTCACTAGTTAGGAATGCATAAAATGTTACTTTAAATCCATTTTAGTTTTAATTTCATGAGTGGTTACCAAGGGTCTGTGATTTTGCCCATAATGACATGTTGAATCCTCAAGTGAAATAACCACTTGGCTGTCCTATTGCCATAAGCTCTTGTAAGAATGACCTCTGCTTCCATCAGGACTTGGATTGGGAGACTGCTAAAGAGATGCAGACAGCTCTGACCTTTCTATATCAAATTCCCAAGCTTACTTTCTTAGGAAAAGTTGTACATTTGAAGACTGAACAGTCAGTGGTCTGGCATGATAGAAATCTGTCACCAACTAGGCAATAGCTTTGAGCAAGTCATTTAACCAAATTGGGTTTTGTTATCCTCACTTGCTAAATGAGCAGGGGCTTCAGGTAAGATGACCTCTGATATTTCTACCAGCTCTGGCATTCTGTGATTCTCAGCCCCTTTGAATAGTTCCACCTGGGTACCCCCACATTTCCCATTTCTGATTTGAGTTTTGCCCTCCCACTTACTTGGTGAGGCTGGAGAGATGAGGGAAAGACCCACTGTGAGCCTGAGAGTCAGCAGATGCTCAAGCTAATGCAGTACTCTTTTCTCAAGTTTCAAAGACCAACCTGGTTTTCATTCACCCTTGTTTTGGTATTGTTTCTAACAAGTATCACTGCTTTTCCATTAGGTAGACTGTTGGCTCTTAGTTGTTTCTTTTAAATGTATCTTAATTTTTTTCTGATTATAAAGGTAATGCATTCTTTTTAAAAATCAAGCATTTTTTTAAAAAATCCAAACATTACATTCTAGAAACTTGAAAGTCATCATAAGCCAAATCCCTACAAACAGCCACTGATAGCTATTTCGTATTTATTTTTCATCTTTGCCAGCCTAAAGAGTTAAACAGTATCTTCAAATTTAACTATTTATAAGATTGAGCTTATTTCTACATTTTTATTGGCCATTTATATTTTTCTTCCTCTGTGAAAGTATTTGTTCCTGTATTAGGATATTTTTCTGTTGTGTTGTTCATGATATTCTCATTGATTTGTGAGAACTCTTTACATAAAAAGAAAATACACTCTTCTCTTGCGTGTATTGGAGAGATTTTTTTTTCCTGCTTTGTTCCTTTCAATTTCACTTTGTTGTATTTGGCTGCCATAAAGAAGCTTTAAAATGTATGTAATTAGGTTGTCAGTTTTTTCCTCCATGTCTTCAGGATTTGAGGTTGTTCTCCGAAAGGATATTTACCCCATTTCCTTTCAGCATTTTTTGTTCTGCTTTTTTACAATTAAATCTTTGAGACAACTGAAGTATACCTGGGTGGAAGAAATGAGGGCTATTGGTTTTAAATAGATACTTTTTAACACCTGGTGGAAAAGTGGCTATCTTGGCTTGGAGCTCAATGACCTTTCAGCTGAAGCACCCAACACCAACTGAGTGTTTTAGGTAAGGCACAGAAAAAATATTATGAAAGAGACAGGTAATGTTCATTTGGTCATAGAAGGAAGCTAAAATCTGAATGGGCTTATTGGAAGAACTGTCCATTGAGATGGACCTCTTGATAGCATGGATGAGATTACCAAAAGAGGAAAAGTTCTGGGGAGGTATTCATGAGAGGTGGTCTGGTTTGACTTGCCATGAGCTAGATTTTTGGGGATCCAGGCTTGGGCAGGTAGTGGGAAGCTGGGGATGATTTTGAGCTGCCCTTTAGGAAAATAAATCTGGTAGCAGTGTGGGAACAGATGGCAGTGAGAATGCAAGGGATCAATTACAAAGTCTGCAGCCTAGGTTGGTTTTTGTTGAGAGATGGTATAAAACTGATTCAGTAATGAGCAAATAAGGAAATCCACCAAGCAGAACATATCACTGCAATGTGGTTCAAGGCAATATATAAGCACATGGGCAGTGTTCTGTCAGATGTTGAATGAGCAACTGGAAAACTAAGAGATCATGATTGGCTATTGTATGTACAGTAAGGCACTAGCCAAAGGATTGGGTTCAGGGCAGGTCTTGAAGGGAGGAGCAAGAACAAGACACTACTACAAGGACTAAGACCCTGAACAAACTATTAAGATGTGTAGTTGGACACATCTTAATAGTGGAGGAAGCAAATAGGGAACCAGTCCAAAGTCCAACTCCAGCAGGGCTTGATGTTCCCTCACCCTTACTAGGCAGTGAACTAGAAGTCCTTAGATCAGCACCCCCACCCCCATTCCCATTAAAAAGAGAACTGATCTCACAGCCAGCAATGAGGCTGAGCCTGCATGTTGGGTCTCGTTGTGTGCATGAGAGCAGGACTGTGAGGAAGGAAGATGACCATACTCAGCCAGTCGAGGAAGACAGTTTTACCTCCCGTGGGTAGTGACCAGGCCCTTTGATTCAGCTTTTCTTGTTTGTAGCTTTAAAAACAAGCCCTTGTTAGTGTTTCCATGTAGTCTTCTTCCCTTTCTTGGTGGCCATGACTTGTTCCCTGGATTATTGCATATTAAGTAAATTCCTATATACCTTCTGGATTACGAAAAATGTGTCTTTAAATTTTTAGAAAATATTCTTATACTCCGATTTTCTTATTGTTCAAATTGAATTTAACCTTTCTATACTTTATAGTTTTCTAGCTATCCTTGATTGAGAAGCAGTTAGGAAATCTGAAAATCTTGATACATGTAATATTCCAAATTGCTTTATGATTCTAAACTTGGAGGTTACATCCATTTGGAGACACACACACACACACACACACACACACACACACACTTTAATGTCTTGATATTCTTTCAGACATCAGGAAGCCAGATCCAGTCAGAAGAATTTGAACTAAATGATGAAAAGGCTGCCACTAGAATGGCCCCAAATGGCTGGAAATCTCGCCTATTTAGGCATTCTACTCAGAAAAACCTTAAAAATTCACAAATGTGTCAGAAGAGCCTTGATGTGGAAACCGATGGACTTGTAAGTTGTTTTTCACTTAAATTAAGTCTTTTACTTTGTAGTTTTGCTACAATTATTGAAATTCTTAGCCTTGCAAATATTTTTCAGGCACAGATGACTGCTACTATGAGCCATACTCTTTGTAAAGAAAAAAATTTTCAAATTTTAAATGTATTTGACAATGAATTGAAATCAGTTCCAATTATAAATGGGTTTTCAAGGGAAAAAAAATCCAGAAATGTAGTCTTTACGCTGAGATGCTTAATATTAAAATTAAATTTGACATTCATCTTTGAGGTCCAGAGGTAATAAGACTGGTCCAAAACGAGAGGCCCTGATATTTGCATACTCTATTGGGTAGGATTACATTTGATTATCTATATTAGGAAACCCAGAATAGCATCCGTTTAAGCAAATTAAGAGTTTTTATTTCTGTTTCACATGCCAAAATCTTAGAGGTGAAAAACCCAGGGCTAGAACAGTAGCTCCACAGTCCCCATAGACACAAGCTCCCTTCATCTTTATCTGCACTACCCTGGCATCAGGTTTCCATCCTCAGGGTCACTTATGATCTAAGGTGGCTCCTGAAGCCCTACCTATCACATCTGTGGTCCAAGCAACAGGAAGAAACAAAGAGGTTTTCCAGAATTCCCACACAATACTATTACTTATAAGTCATTGGTCATAATTCGATCACATGGCCATACTTAGCAATGAGTATGGAAAATTCAATTTTTTTTTTTTGCTGTATGCATTGACATTCTAAATTAGATTGGAATTCTCTTACTTAGAAAAAGAGGAGAATGGTGAGAAATAGCAACGTTGGATTTAGGAGATTATTAACTCCAGTTAACAAATAATTTTATTTATTTATTTATTTTTAATTTTATTTTTTGAGACAGGGTCTTGCTGTGTTGCCCAGGCTGAAGTGCAGTGGTGCAATCTTGGCTCACTGCAACCTCCACTTCCCGGGCTCAACTGATTGTCCCACTTCAGCCTCCTTAGTAGCCGGGACTACAGGTGTGTGCCACCACACCTGGCTAATTTTTCTGTGCTTTTTGTAGAGACGAGGTTTTACCATGTTGCCCAGGCTGGAACAAATAATTTTATTATACAGAGGGAATCCATTCCAAAAAAAGATTTCCTTATTTCAAGATATAGTTTTGATATATTTTGATGTTATTTGTTAATGAAGACTGAGTTTATTTTTACTCTTGTGTTGGCCTGAGAAAACTAATTCTACCAATAATTTATTGCATCTGTTTTTATCTGTGCATGCTATTACTGCAGAAATTACAAGGACTCTCTTAGAGGTCTTAATCTTGGTATATTTATAGAAAGAAGAATAACAATTGTACCATTTTGGAGCGTCATTATTATAAGTCAGATAAGCAATTTCCCCTCTTTTGGCTATGAAATTATCCACTTTTCATTTCCTCATTTATTTTGAGAGTTATTTTGCTATCTCTTTAAACTCCAGTATTTTATAGGAGCACGTCTCTTGAAGAAATGCACAGAGAAGAGGGGGAGGCAGGAAATGCTGCAATCAACAAGATTGTCCCAAGTACCATCATAGGGAGAAAACAACATGCCAAAGGAGAGGGAGAGATTAAGTCTGATTAGAGGGACCTGTTTGTGTGCTGAAGAGCAGTAACCAAAGAAAAAGATTCATTCATTATGCTGGAGATAGGGACTTAAAGATAATGTTAACTAGGGAGGAAAAAAAAAAACCCTGAAATACAGAAAAAATGGGTAATTTGAAAGAAGGCTCAGTAGAACCTACTTCTATATTCTCTGTTTTATAGAGATATAAATATAACCTTTCTCAGTGACCTCAAGTTTTTGGGATTCCATAGTCACCTCTGTCTCAAGTTTAATGTTAAACTGCTTCTATCATCAAAACATTCTTTATGAGACCTAAATCCTGCATGCTTGGCCAGACATTTAATTAAACATTTGCTGAGAATCTTATATGTGCCAGGAATTGGACTACTTTCTAGGAATATAAAGACATAATCTTTACCTTAAAAAAAGTTACATACTAGAAATGGAAATATGTAAACAAAAAAATCACAGACAAGCTAAGCTATGAAATAAGAGAAGTCTGCACAGGGAAAAGTGTGGTAAGAGAAAAGGAATGTAATTAATTTGGTTTTGTGAGTTGGAAATATGGTACAGAAAAGGCAAGGTTTTGGGGTGAGGAGGCCAAGCCCATGTTCTCCAGTTAGTAATGGTTTCCTACATTTGCAAAGATGTTTATCCATCTACTCAGGTGTATTGTCTCATTTGACCCAGATATCATCCCTGTTAGAGAGGCAGGACTGTATCATAATATATGAGAAAACTGCAGCTCGGCTTATGTGGTCCAGCCATGACTGTCACACCAATACAGTGTTGTGTAACTCCAGAGCTGGATGCCAAGGTATTTGTGCCCAGATCCTGCTACCTCGCAGTCTGCTGAGGCCAGAATAGGGACGGGCTAAGCATCCCATGAAGGTTATTTCTTGGCCGAACAACCCATACTCAGCTTATGATGTGTAATCAGTAAACATTGTTAACATGTTATAATATACTGTCCTACTCTCTAGTAGTTTGCTTGTCATTCTCTGCACCTAGTTTGCGAGTCCCTTGAGGGCAATGGCCATGCCTTTTCTATGTCTACAGACTCTGGTAACTGTTGTGTCATCACCAGTTTGCCCTGATGTTTATATGTTCTAGGAAGCAAATGTGCCACCAGTGTCCTTTCTGAAGGTCCTGAAACTGAATAAAACAGAATGGCCCTACTTTGTCGTGGGAACAGTATGTGCCATTGCCAATGGGGGGCTTCAGCCGGCATTTTCAGTCATATTCTCAGAGATCATAGCGGTAAGTTTGCAAACACCACATAACAGCCTGAATTAGATCAATTCATCAGCTGCTGCTTCTCCCAACCTCACTGACTGGCTCCATTCTGGGATTAAGCAGCCTTAAATTAAACTAAGCCAAAGTCCTTAAATCCCTTTTGAGAAAAGCTGTGAGGGAAAAGATAAGTAGCCTTTGAATCACTCTAAGTTATGATATTAATGAAATTATAAAATGTAAAATCAATGAAGAAGGCATTCTAATGAGCTCTCTTCATTTGGTGAAACTGGTGTCAGACAATGATCCCCAATCTGTTTGTGTAGAAAAGCTGGTACAAGTCGCACAGTGAGGTGGAGAGAGAGTGGAGCAGGGAGGGGTTAAAGTCATAGAGTTTAATAAGAGTCCAGGCACTGGGTATAGACTGGCCTCACCACTCAATAGCTCTCGGTACCTCAGTTTCTTCATCTATACAATAAATCTACCTCATAACATGGCTGAGGATTAAGAGATTATATAGGTAACTATCTGGAAAGCATTTAAGAGTGTGTGCCTTGTAGTAAGTATTCAAAAAGCGATAGCCACCCCATTTTAGCAATCCTTCCAAGGCTTGGGGAGTCCAAGACTAAGAAAGAAAACATACTAGCCAATCATTCAATTAATTGGGGGATATTTAAAGGAAGTTATCACAAATATAAAGCCTCCATCAATTCCATGAAATCCAGAATTCATATTCTACAATTTCAGTCAAGCTCTAATGTTATTGGAGAGACTTTGTTGTTGAGGATAAATAATTCTCCATCATGTTACGAGTTTATTATTTTTGTGATGTTGGACATCGATCCACAATTAAGACCACAAGCCAAAAAATAAATAAATTAGAAAAGATCCTCCTCCAAATCTTTTAAAGTTTCAAAACAAAGCAAGCTCTGGCTCTCTTGCAATTCAAGGCAATGTGGACTATATATTTTGGGGCATCTGTCTGCCTAGTGCTGCTCCAGGCACTGGAGATACAGTGGTACACAAATAAACCAAGTTGTGCCCTCAAACAGCGGTTTCTGTCGGGGAAGACATGCAATGGACAAACAAAAAAATAACCCCACAAACATGTAACATGTTGAGGGATAACAAGAGTTTTAAAAGATGGGTAGGGTAATAGAGAGGTGTTAGCTGGGGGTGCTGTTTCAGATAGGATGCTCAGGAAAGGCCCCTCTGGGTGGAAGCCTGATGGAATGAGAAGTGGAGGGCTGGGACAGGGAGGAGTCACAGGGAGCAAGGGACATATAGGAAGAGGAACAAATGCTAAAATGTGCAACCACTCACAGTCCATATGCAGTATGTCAACCTATGTTAACAACCATGCAGTCAGAAAGTAGAATAGAGATTACCAGGAGCTGGGAGGAGGAGGGAATGGGGAGTCAGTGTAATGGTATCAAGTTTGGGAAGTTTGGGAAGGCGAAAAGTTCTGTAGATGGATACTGGTGAAGGTTGCACAACAATGTGACTGTACTTAACGCCACTGAATTATACACTTAAAAATGGTTAAAATGGTAAATTTTGTGTTATGTATATTTTACCACAATTACCAAAACCCTACATATTTGAAGCCTAGTTTTAAACATGTGACACTCAAGCCACTATTTATGAGAGGAATGAAGAAGGATCAGTTATGTAATCCAAGTGGGCGTTTTAAATATTCTTTTGTAGATTTTTGGACCAGGCGATGATGCAGTGAAGCAGCAGAAGTGCAACATATTCTCTTTGATTTTCTTATTTCTGGGAATTATTTCTTTTTTTACTTTCTTCCTTCAGGTAGGTACCCATGATTTGCCTTTCTCATCAAGTTTATAATTTAATTAGAGAAATTAAATTAAACCTAATGGAGCTTCCAAATTCTTACAGTGAAATAAATTGCAAACATGATTGGCATAAGGCTCTGCTGGAGGGTAGACTCCTTATCAGGGGGAAGTGTGACTTCCCTGTGTCCTAACTTATATTACATTACAAGTTTGCCCTCAGCAGACATTCATTACCAAGGACAAGAGACCTCAGTTTACTGCAGAACATAAGAGTAACTTAAATTCAACAGGTTGGGAACTGGGAAAGTACAGTCCAATAGCATTCTCTTTTCTGTTGTTACTCTTTATAGAATATCAAGTAACTTCTCTGATCTTTTCCTACTTAATTGATGAACTATTTGAAAGAACATAATATTTTGCATTCTAACGTTGTAGACCTGGCCAAAATAAACTAGTCAAACTCTCTAATTGTACTTTTCTACCCAGTTAGACTTCTCTGTAATTTCTTTTGTCTCTTTAACCCAGTGGGCACCACATAGGCCTTTCGAATATAATACAATCCATCAAGTCAGCAAAATAGTGTTTCCTAGTCATGCCAGCATGCTTCTCTTTTATTATTGTTGAACCAATGGCAAAGTAAACCAAGTTTTTTATTTAGAAATCATTGCCCTACTAGACACAACTCAATGATTTGATCCAGCCCCAGTCCCTGGCATGCTAGGGAGTGCAGCTAGAAAATGTGTTTCAGGGGCCGCAGGAACAGTGGGCTGATGCATAGAACCTGTAGCAATCCGCCAGCAAATGGAGGGGGAGGGCAGTCTGGTCCTGGACAAGGAACACCTGGGGCCGATTCACTGGGTGCACTGATCATCTATCCCCCTGGCTTAGTAAACAGTTCTGATGTGCACTCCCCCGTGTGCCCTCGGCACGGCTACCCCAACACTCACACTGTGGCTGGAGACTCACACGTCCCAGAAGTAAGCCCACTTCTGGATATCTGGACTCCTCTCCAGTTTGGATGTGGTAATTAGAAAGTAGGAAATTGTCCCAAAGAGGCTGGGGAAGGAAGAGTACCCTGATTGTTCCCCAATCTGAGTGCAGGTGGAGCTGTGACCAGGAACCAGCATACTCATTTGGATCTTGTTTCTAAGGTCATCCTTCCTTTACACTGCATGAGCCAAAATGAATTCGTGTGTAGGACTTTGTTACTTCTGTATTTAACTGGTTTATTGGAAGTAGTAGGAACACACTGAATTTTGTAGTTAAACACAGTATCTTTGTCACTGAGATGTTGTCCTTCAAAGTTTTGAAAAATAAACCTATTTAGAATGGTTTAGAAGCCAGAACTGGACACCTTTAAGATTTTTGGCCTTTGATTGTAATGCATACTGATGATTTTGCAGTACATGAATTTGACGTGGGGGCTTTGAATTCGTATTTGGTCCTGGACTTTTGTTATTTAAATAGTTAACATACAAATAATGTAAAATCAATGTGAATATAGGCACCTGTGTCAGAATACTAGCAACTGTTACCCACACAACGGGCAGGTTTGGTCACTTGGTGGGTTTCAACCCAATGACCACATCAAGGAGGATTTAGCAAAGGAATTTTATAACTTGTCACAAGTGAGAAGCTCACAGAGCTTAGTTCCCAAAGCAGTATCTCCCCAAGCTGGAGGCTGGGTCAGGTTTTATAAGCGTATGGTAATGAAGTGTGATCTGATTGGATCTTGCAATGAAGTGATGCCGGGAAGCACCATCTGACTGGATCCTGCCATGGGGTGGTGTCAGAGCTCAATCTGATTGAATCCTGCATCCTGCCATGTGGTGTCTGCTTCTTAATTCAGTCCCTGATTCTTGTTTCGGAGCACTTAGGTTCCTGCTATGGTTGCATGCTTGATTCATCTGGGGCTGCTCAGGTTATTAACATGACTTGAGGATCCGTGGCAACTGTAAAACAACTCATAACTTTGCTACATAAAAGTTGAACATGATTGGTCTGGTGCAATTACATACATAAAGATCAAAAGAGACCATAGCCTTTTTTCTCAACCAGGGTTTCACGTTTGGGAAAGCTGGCGAGATCCTCACCAGAAGACTGCGGTCAATGGCTTTTAAAGCAATGCTAAGACAGGTAGGAGTGTGCGCTGGAGAATGCCTTCTGATCTTTCACATTTCTTCCATATTAAGCTTCTTACTGTTCTTATTGTTATGTCGATATGCATGTTTTCCCCCCAGGGTATTCACGCAAGGATGGGGCAGAGTCCTGCAAATTGTCCTGGTCCTTCAAGAGCTAAAGACTTCTCATGTTTTTTTTGTTTTTTTTTTGTTTTTGTTTTTTTTCATAGAAATAGGCTTTATTTGGGTAGCTTTGGCTTATTCTGTAAATATCTCTCTCCATGTAGACACTATCATTTCGAAGACCTGTATCTCTTTTCTGGATCCTGTGCAGGCCCTGGTGAGTCCATTGAGACTCCAGGATGTCTTTAAACCAAGAAAAACCTAGTTGATAGCATTTAATCTCATGTACCACAATCTACCATACTAACTGTAGGTATCCTCAAATGTTAATAATTGAGTTTTGTTTATTTCTTATTTGAGGTCTATTTTCACATTAATTCACTTGTTTGTTTATTCAAACATTACTTATCATGTACCAGACACTGTGCTGGTGGCTGGTACTGTATAATCCATTATTTGCTCTCCTCGTAAGTTCACATTCTAGTGCCTGACATAGGAAAATATGCAAACATGAATTATCTATTTTTATAGAAAATGCCTAAGAGAGGGCCAGAATATTATCCATTCAATTGACAGGAACTGATTACATTTCTGTTCACAAATGGGCACATAGTAGGTAGTATATTCTGATTAAATCTGTCTACAAATCCTATTTCAGTATCTCCTAAACTCTTGCTATGCAGGAAAAATTATTTTATGTGAAGGTAAAAGATGCCATGGATGAGTAGCTTACAATTAAAATTAAGTCTCAGACATGCTTCTTTTTTTATCCCTGTGGCTAACTGGAGATCAGACACACTTTCAATCAGTGTTTAACAAAAAATCAAACAAAAGCTTGGTGAGAAACCAGTGCTTATTTTCTCCTGCCTAGAATCTATCAGAACAACATGTCCAAGACAGCTCCACCACCCTTTATGAGAGACAACACCATATCAGGGCAGAAGTGTCCATAGTGAAAGACCTGATGATTGGGTGAATGGAATGCCTACCAGCCTCCCAGCCTTGGGAGGAGCTGGCAAGGAGCATGGCAGCCATCTGGGTGAGCCCTGCCCCCCTAGACCAGAGATGCCCTCCCTGCTACCACAGAGCAGTCAGGAAGCTGGGTTCTGCTAGATTCTGGGGGTGTGTGCTCAGAGCAAGGCCAGGGACTCTACACTGCATATGAGGTCTCCCCTAAATTTCCTCAGCATTGGAGCTTTGGGAGGCTTTGTCTGGTTTTCTTTGCTTGTTTTAATTTTGAACTAACATAAACGTGTATTTTATGCCATAGGACATGAGCTGGTTTGATGACCATAAAAACAGTACTGGTGCACTTTCTACAAGACTTGCCACAGATGCTGCCCAAGTCCAAGGAGTAGGTAGACTGCACTCTACTTGTAGTTTTTTACATAACATGGTTTTAGATAAGCATGTAGCATACCCACACTTGTTAAGATGCTTCCAGCTAGAAATAGCAGAAAGCTCAAATCAAAACTGCTGTAAACAATAAGCAGAAGATTAAACTTCAAGGTTGATTGACCCACTGCCCCCTCCAGATTTAATCCAGAATCCAGGTTCCCTCATTGGCTTTGGCTTTATCCCAAGGCTGATTCCCTGCAGTCACAGGATGGCTGCTAATAGTAATTAGAACTACAGGCTTCCTTATTTCCCATCCAGTGAAAGAGAGCACACACCTCTACCTCAACCACCAAACAAAAACCCTTTGCTGAAATCTAATTTGGGCTAATTTGGGTCACATGCCCCACCCTGAACCACTGTCTCCAGGGGATGGTGGTGTTCTGAGTGGCCTACGTCCCCCACCCCTTTAGCTGAGGTGGGTTACTTTGCAGCTCACTGCTTCCACACAACAGGAGAAGGAGGAATGGATGCAGAGAGCTGACTGCAATGTTGCTACAGCCACCTTTGTTTTCTGAGTGGTACAACACTAATTCATCCTTATATGTGCTTTGTGGTGGATGTCTCTTAGGACACGTACCCTTTGTAACAACAGATGGTCTCTTTCCCTTTTACACTTTTGAATTAAATGGTCTTTAAAATTACCCAGGTACATTGGAGTTAGTTTCCTCTTTGAACATTGCATCTATGAAAAAATACATGCACCCCCAGTGCCCATCCACAAAGCAGAGAAGTTGATTACTTGGTTCTAGAATGTTGGTTCAGGTGGGCAGGAGAGGAATGAGAGTGTAAAGGCACAATGAAGAAATGTCTGCAGAGCCTCATGAGTTAAGCACAGGTGTTGTGGGTTTATTGTAATGAAAGTAAGCCAATGTAGCTCAGGCATAGAACCCACTCATCATTCTGACCAAGAGGCTAAGGCTGGAGCGCATGCATTTGGAGCTTAAAACTACAGTTGCTTTGTGCTTTTTCTCTCCCAGGCCACAGGAACCAGGTTGGCTTTAATTGCACAGAATATAGCTAACCTTGGAACTGGTATTATCATATCATTTATCTACGGTTGGCAGTTAACCCTATTGCTATTAGCAGTTGTTCCAATTATTGCTGTGTCAGGAATTGTTGAAATGAAATTGTTGGCTGGAAATGCCAAAAGAGATAAAAAAGAACTGGAAGCTGCTGGAAAGGTAGGTCAAATAAGATTTCAATTGGTGTTAAGTGTTGTTTTTAGACATGTGTTTTATTTGAATTATTTATCATGATATGCAGGCTTTAATAATTAAATGTTTGTGCCCACTACAACTAATAATTGTCAATTGTGTATGAAATATTTTACTGTATTAATGTCTAGAACTTAAATATAAGGTGATTAACATAAAACGTTGAGCCTATAGAAAGCACTTAACATAGTTATGATAAAGAACTTCTGAATATTCAAAGTGCATTTCATTTTACTTCATGTCCAAATGCTACTGTTTGGACAAATGTCATCCCTGTTTCACAAACCTTCATGCAGAAGACTGTAAGTGAATTGTTCAGGGTCGGACATGTGCTGGCATTTAAGAGATCCTCTTCTTTTTGGCTGTGATTTCTATAATTAAGATGGCAGCCACCAGATGGCAGTAATGCCTCAATTTTGTGGTTCTCACTATAATGGCAATTGGGCTTAACATTTACTTGAGCCTTACTACGTGCCAGTTATTGTGCTACATATTTATATGCACCAATTTATTACATCTTCACAATAATCCTATAAGGCAGGCACTATTGTTATCCCAATTTCAGAAATACAGAACCTGAGATTCAAACAGAAGTTAGAGATTTGGCTGGGATTTAAGTTCAGGTCTAGTTTCAAAGCTCTTACCTCTACTATATGGTCTCTTTATATGTGTTTAAGTGTCTAAATCTACACATAAACATTTTATTTACAAGTACATGCACTGAAATGTTCACATGTAGATTATAACCATGAACATTCTTAGTCTTATTTATGTAATTATTATCCTTTATTGAAACATGAGGAAGTGAAGCAGATAATAAATATAAATTGTGATATAGGTTTTATAGCATTGCACTTTACAAAGCCCTTTTACAAGCATTACTGCAACTGACCTTAACTAGTTATGAGAAGTGGAACAGACAGTATCTCTATAGGGAAGAAGGCGTCAGAGACTGGGTGAGTGACTAGCTTCAGAGGCACCATATTAAGAGGGAAGATTAACATTCGGACTAACCATGTTTCCACTAAACCAATTATGTCTGGTGAAATCCTTTCTTGTCCTCTTGTAATCAGCATCAGCTGCCGCTGCATGCAGCGTTAGGTATAATAGTATCTCCAGGTTTCCATCAGAATTCACTCTCCTCATTTTCACGCTGCATCCTCTCCAAGACTTGGAGCTTGCTAGGACAATATGTGGTTCCCAGGACTTGGGAACCCCTGGGTGTCTAGAGTTCTTGAAGATTCTCTTGGCTGCTGGCTGTGGGTACTTTAGGGCATCATTTCCTTGACTTCTGAGTGTCTCAACTAACTGCTGAAGAAACACTGTGTAGCTCTGTTTCCTCCCCTGCCCCTCAATCCTGCTTCTTTCCACATTTCATATGGGAGAATGGTCAGTTGGATGGAATGAAAATAAACTTTTCTTAGACAAGTTACATGATAGAAAACATCTTGAATCTAGTTAATAGTCTTAGCTCCATTAATTGTTAGAATTTTGTCAGAGTAGAGCAGGTAGAATTGAGCAGTATTGAAACAAAACAAAATCTTGGGTTATTAGCTTTGGTCTTGCTATTCACAGTGTGTGAGGCTGGAGAAGATCCCCAACTTCTCTAGTCCTCATGTCCTACCTTAGTAAAATGAGAAATTGTACCAGATACTGCCCCAAGTTCCTTCCAGCTAAAACCCTGTTATTCTAAGCATCAGAGATTGAATAACTCAGACTGGCCAGTTTAAATTTTTTTAGTAGCTACTTTAACCTAATAGGGTTATGAAATATGAAAGATTAAATATGAAATATGAAAGATTTTAAATATGAAAGATTAAAAATGTTTTAAATGTTAATATCAGCAGTTCAATCATAGTTTAATATTGTTTACTCAGTCAGCACTTGCTTAAGAGTCGGAAAGAAGGTTCTAGAAAAACCCCAAATCACTATTTAAAAAGAAACACTCTCATTTACCTGGGTACAGTTTCATCATCATTAAAGTACAACAGGGTTTGAGGTATTCCCATCCCAATTTTCCAAAAAGGGCTTGGTAGTGAGGGTGTTGGTTACTGGGCAGGGAGTGGGGAGGGAAGACTGCCTCATAACCATCTTGACCCAGGGCTTGTCTGGTCACTGAGATTAAGGGCCCTCTGTGCCACAGCTAACCCGTAAGGGAGTTGATCCATGACTAGAATGTCAAGAGGAGTGTCAAGTCATTACTGGTTTCTCCTTGTGTAAATTACACAGCAGGGGTAGCAGAATAGCATTATGGCTTAGGAACATGGACTCCACATCAGATAGTCTCAGTTGGAATTCTTGCTTTGCTACTTATTAACTTTAGAACTTAAGGCAATTCAGTTAACTTCTCTGTGCCTCGGTTCTCTCATCTGTGTAAATAGGAATACTATTTCCCTTTCAAGGTTGTGAGGCTAAATGAGATCATATTGGTGAATGAGGTAATACTTGGACATAGTAAAAGCTCAGTAATTTTTCTCTATTCTTGTAATTGCTATCTGTTATATCTTTATTACAAATGAAAAATCTATGGTTATTCAGTCTCAAGCATCACATATCTTCCTTTCAGCTCATTGCAGAAGCTAAGAACTGAGGTAAAAAAAAAAGTCTTAAAGCTGTTAAAAACCTAAAATTAAGATCTTATGCTCCATGTGCTGTTGGTTTAGATGACTCAACTACAGAACTAAGATTTAGACTAAATAGCTAAGTCACAGACAATCAACATTTGTCAAGGGTGGTTTGGCTGTAAGAATCAGAGAACTGCTCTGGCTGGTTTGGGTAAAAGCGATTTGATATAAGGACACTCCAAAGTGCAAGAAATACAGGCAGTTTGTGTGTAACTGGCTCTTACAGCCACAGGCTCTAATATCTGAGTCTTCCTATACATCTATTCCATTCCTCGGATGCTGTATATTCAGACCAGCTTCTTACACATACCCAATGTGACATCAGCCTCTGAAGCCCCAGGGCCTCACGGTTCAAACTTGTGTCCAGGGCCAGGAAACCAAATCTGATTGACCCAGATTAGTCAGATGTCTGACTCTGATTTAATCACGGATTTAAAGCATGCTCATGTTGTTGACAATTGGGATCTCCTTCCCATTGTGGGTGGACAGCTTTTATAAGAAGTTATACTCAGGGAGGAAATAATTGGCAGCTCCAATAGGCCCTTAGAAATCACAGCCTAATCCTTTCTTTTAGGACTCTGCCTTGTGAAGAAAGCCAGGCCACAAAGGGGTTGTGACTAAGGCCAGTCATGTAACTGCCTGGTGGCAGGCTGGGAATAGAACCAGGCCCTTGGTTCCCAGGCCACAGTTCTTGCCCTTAGCTGATCAGCCTTCCTGAGCATACAAAGACTTGCCTACCATACTTAGCACAGCCAGAAGTACCAGTTTTGTCATAAAGCTAGTCTTGAACAGATTATGCCTTTGGTTTTTAATTTAAAGGAAATTAAAGCCTATCAACGTAACCTTCAGGATACTTTTGACAGAGCCCTAGGGCTTATTTTTCATTATTTCAGAAGTGAAAACACCACTTCTAATGAAGGTCTATTCTGTGTTACAGATTGCAACAGAGGCAATAGAAAATATTAGGACAGTTGTGTCTTTGACCCAGGAAAGAAAATTTGAATCAATGTATGTTGAAAAATTGTATGGACCTTACAGGTAATGAACCATATGATTCCTGCTAAGAACCTAGTGCTTTCCTAAGGCTGAATTATTGTCCCAAAAAGATAATAAAAGCTCTGCTGCTCCAAACAATGATATGACTATAAGGGTGGCCTTTTTTCAACAATTCTGTCACTGAAAATAAGTAGCTTTTTGATGTGACTAGGACACAGAATTATATTTTTTACATCTTATGCAAACAACAAGAATAGGTCTCCAAGACGTAAAAGATATAGAGAATTGCACAGTCTTTGGTTATCAGTGCAGGCAACATAAATAACCTATCTGGGTGACTTAAGACAAACATTCCTTTAAGGAATTGCTCAAACCTTTCTTTGCAGTGTGTAGACTGAACCAAAAGTGAGACTTGCTATTGGGTATGTTCCAGAGGAAAGTATTTCATTTGTTCTCTGAATGAGGACCAGATCCAACCTACTCTGAAGATAAAGAAACACAGACTATTTCAGTGGTTTATAGTTGAGCAATTCAAGAAACTCCTAATGGCACCATTTGCCACTCATTTCCACTGCAGCCTGATTTTATAAATGAGTATGTTTTAACACAAAGTTGAACACAACTTAGATTACAATTTTGCAGACTGGAACAGTAGTTTTGAACACTTGCAAATTTGAACAGATATCTTTGAAAGTCTCAATTTATGCCATCTCCTCAGTTATGCACACTTCATATGATACTAAATAACATGCAGCTACACCTTTGTGTCCATTTGTTGTTTGACATAAAACATGTATGCACCATTAATGATGACCTGTTTTTAACTTCAAGGAGGGTTAAGGAAGAATAGAAAGGTGAAGCTAATTATGAACTTGGTTATAATTTAAAGATTCAATAGCTTCACAGAATGCTCAAGTTTTGTAACACCATGTTCACAGCACATAAGTTAAACCATCCAAATTAGTAATACTTTGAATTTTTCCTTTTGCCAAAAACACCCTCATATTTGAGAGTAACTCAATTATAGTTCTTTTGGAGGATTCAGAAGCCAATAAAGTATAGCATGAAGTCAAATTAGAAACTGTACAAAATAAATTATATACAGGGGCGGCTGGCAGGATCTAGCTTGGGAAAGGACTTCTGGTGTATATCTATGTAAACTTCAGGGACTCAACTTTTGTGAATCTGAAACATGAATTTTAACCTAACAGAGTACAATTAGTTACAGGAAACAACATAATAGTAGTAAATCACATTCAGATAATTCAAACTTAAATTCAGATCCTGACATTTTAGGTATTTTTGAAACAACAACTATGCTTAATAGGAGTTGAACATTGGAGTCATCAGATATTAATATGTAATAATATCAGTTATCATTTGAGGAACCACTATGAACTAGGCACTGTGCTAGACATTTATATGGTTTTTGTCAAAACAATTCTGCATTACAGTGATTATTTCCATGGTATAAATGTTTAGAGAAGTTATCATTTACCCAAACTAATATAACTGGAGGTGGAACTTAAACCCACTCGGCCAGACTTAGAAGCCGTGCTCTTTCCACTACACAGCGCTAAAGGAGGCTGAAGAGATGGTTACAAGTATACTGATTTGCTTTTCAGGAATTCTGTGCAGAAGGCACACATCTATGGAATTACTTTTAGTATCTCACAAGCATTTATGTATTTTTCCTATGCCGGTTGTTTTCGATTTGGTGCATATCTCATTGTGAATGGACATATGCGCTTCAGAGATGTTATTCTGTAAGTAGCTTTAGAAATATTAAGATTATTCTATAATAAGGTTTTAGTAGGTTTATGCAAAAGTTTAGAGTAGGAAAAAAATGACTCCTGTGTCCAAAGATGAGGTCAGGGATTTAAATTTACCACAGTTTCCATCCTGGCAGGCACAGAGATCTGATCTTGTTAATACTCCAAGTGCAGTTTCATTTTGCGGGCTACAATTAAGCTTATGAAAATGATCAGAAAGCACAGTTTTAGTTGTACATATGATCCTGGTCAGGATGATGCAAATTTTCTCATTATAGAATATAGGCAGAAAAAATCATAATTAGAAAGTTGCTGGTGACCATGGACTCAAAACAGGGTTATATAGCTTACTATTATCTACAACCAAAACATGGCCTGGAAAACAAGATGGGAATACTTGTTGGAAGTCTGGCAAAGGCACTCTCTCCCTAACCAGGCCTGAGATGAGACAGCCCTGCCAACATTTGCCTCTCAGCCTCTCCTTTTTCCTTGGTTTCCAAGGCAAACTACTGGTCTTTCTGTTTGATGCCTTCTTTCATAATGTGCTCAGCACATTCCATTAGGTTGCAATCTGGGCTTGAAAGAGGGAAGCAACTCTTTTTAAGATCATTTGGTATGTTTCTGCTCTGGTGGGATGATTTTAAAGCAGTGGTGAACAGCCATTTTTGAAACAGGGTCAAGACAAAAAAGCGAAAGTGTGTTAAGAGCTGGGTTTTTTTTTTCATCCAAAATTAAAATTACCATGAAAAAATGTATCTATATAATCTTTGTATCAGGATCCCAGCAGGAAACAAATGGCACAGCAAATGGGTTAATTGATGAGTTTGCTAAAGGGTCTATTTACAAAGGCCTGGAAAGTGTTAAGGTAAGCAGTACCCAAGAAGGAAGTTAACACCCCAGCAATACCCAGCTGGAAACTGCTACCACCCTAAGCCTAAAGGCAAGAGAAGGGAAAGATAGCCAGAACTCAGCATAGGTGCTTTCTGTGGTCTTTGATGGAGGGACAGCAACTGCACAAGCAATCTGACAAGAAAGAAGCCAAAGAAACAAATACCTTGGCCTCACTCCCTTCCAGCCTCCCTATCCTCTGCTGTGCCTTCCATTGGCCAAATCCTATGAAACCAGAGGACAAGAAAACCTTTTGATTCAGTTCATGATAGTTGGAATCCCCAGACATGGAGTAGGGGGATAGAAGGTAGAGATGGGTAAAAAGTGAGGAGTGATTTTGGGGGACAAATGGAACTAGCAGCTGGGGATTACAACTTAGAGTACAACTATTTATTGTATAAAAAATATTGAGAACATTTCTGAAAGTGAAAACCGTTGGAAAGTCACATTATTCCTGCTTCCTTTCTTTTTTAAAATCATTGAAATGTTAAATTATGGAAACCTAGAAGACAGCTTTAGGCAGTACAGGGAAGCTATGCAGCCACATGTGGGTTGTTCATCACTATTTTAAAACTTAGTTTTTGGCAACTCACCTTTTCGTCAAGCATTTAAAGGAAAGTTTTACTATACCTCTCATCCCAGCCCCTAGGTATTAAAACCCATTTTTAATATCTTAGCTTTAGAAATTTGAAGGTGAAAACTTAAAGTTCTCCATTATTAGTAGAGAACTCCCACTCCTTTCTCTGGGGTAGTGCTGGTATCAGAAGTAAATTGCTTTGTGAAGTTGTAGATCTCAGGATCTTTAGCCCTTCCTAAAAGTTGTCATAATCAATATCCATCTTTAAAGAGCATATAATTAGAAAATAGAACTTTAGTTTAAGGTGACTTTTTTTTCCAGAGTGCTGTCAATAGTTATTTTAACTTTTATTTTAGGTTCAGGGGTACATATGCATGTTCGTTAATACAGGCAAACTCATGTCATGGGGGTTTGGTGTACAGACCATGTCATCACCCAGATACTAAGCATAATAACTGATAGCATAGTTATTTTAATTGTAAATAAAAAGCTATTTCTAGTAAAAGCTTATTTTCCCTAATAAAAATTATTTACAGTGATGATGATTATCATTTGTGTGGTAGTACAGAAGAAACCACAAACTGGAAGTCAGGGCCAGAGCTTTATCAGAAAAAGCTTACTTGGAACTGATCAAGGCCCTTACACACTTTGTGCTTCAATTCCCTCAACTCTAAAAAGAGTATAACCAGCAACTAAAATTAGCTGAGCTCACAGATCAGATTCAGTTATAAGCCTCTTCTTGAAAGTAAAAACCTTTGGGAAGTCACAGTAGTCCTAAGAAATTAGGGGCTACTATGCAAAGGGAAGTCAGAAAGCAAGTCGAGAAAAGGTAAACCCTCAGGAAGTGGATCTTGCCCCTCTCCTAGATTTCTCTTGTTACTAGAATTTTATGAAAATGTATGTCGGGGAGAAAGGGGATGATTAAGGAGTAAAGGGAAAAAATACTGGTAAGCACTATACCTTTAGACTTTCAAACATCATGGAGTTAATTATAAAAGCTAATTTTTGAATTCCTCTACTTCTGTCTAGGGTGTTTTCTGCAATTGTATTTGGTGCAGTGGCTCTAGGACATGCCAGTTCATTTGCTCCAGACTATGCTAAAGCTAAGCTGTCTGCAGCCCACTTATTCATGCTGTTTGAAAGACAACCTCTGATTGACAGCTACAGTGAAGAGGGGCTGAAGCCTGTAAGTTCTCTGATGCCTGATGATGCTTGATCAATTTTTCCCTAAGGTTTGCTGTCTGCTAGATTATAGCTACAGGATAAGTTTGTGATGATTACACCAACATGTGTTTCATTTAATTTGTAATATTTATATAGCTAATATTTGGGCAACTTGACTGACATTTAAAAATTTTATAGGTGGTTTCAAGGATCCTGAAGTTTAGCACATCAAAATAAAAAAAAAAGGGAAAACCAGATATATTAGAACTGAATAGTTTCCACAAAAATTTAGTCATTTCTACATAAAGGTATAATTCTGCCATGTTAATGCAATTAGTAATTTGACTTTAATCACTTTTTATAATAGTTAAGATGTAATTGGTAAGAAGGGCAGTTCGTTCACAATGAGAGTAATAATCCTGTGCTTTATTATCTATAAAGGTAACTTAAACTCACATCTGAGTGTTCTTTGTATGACACAAGATGCTACACGTTGTAATATACAAGCAGCTGTGTAGGTAAAGAGGCTAGGACTTAACACAGTCTTTCCAGGACTTTCCCAGGTATTTCATGTTCTGATAAAATTGCTGTGCCCAGTGAGTGAGATAAAGAAAGTGAACTTAAGAAACTGCCAGGGTTTGCCATCAGGGCTGCCCACTGAAACTTTGGGTAGAAACTGTTGCTAAATTTCCAAGCCTTTAGAGTCTTTTGGACACTGGCTTGATTCCAGCTTCAGAATAAGCAGTTGGGAAAGCTAAATGAATATCTTAAAGAAATCAGAAACTAAGTTAGATAACAACTCATGGTAATGACTTTTTGTCTAATCTCACCTATACCCCTATCTCTCACCTTCATTTCACACCATAATAACTTGCTATCAATATTAACTGGCACCAGAACTATACCAAATATGAATTTTATGTTTCTCTACTACAGTCTTTGGTAAAGTTTCCTTGAAATAATATTTCTTATTCCAATAATTATCAGGCCAATTATAATAGCAACATTTAAACATTTATTCAGGATAAATTTGAAGGAAATATAACATTTAATGAAGTCGTGTTCAACTATCCCACCCGAGCAAACGTGCCAGTGCTTCAGGGGCTGAGCCTGGAGGTGAAGAAAGGCCAGACACTAGCCCTGGTGGGCAGCAGTGGCTGTGGGAAGAGCACGGTGGTCCAGCTCCTGGAGCGGTTCTACGACCCCTTGGCGGGGACAGTGGTGAGCACATTTCCTTATAACTTGATTGAAGGCTATATTTTAATTGGCCCAACCAATATTGTCATAATGGAAAATATTGGACAAATGTAGACCTAGAATCCTGTTTGATACAATGACCACATTCTATAAACCCCAACTGGCACCATATCTGGGAAATATATGGGGACAATAGGACAGAATGTCTGGAATTCAGTCTAGCTCAGAAAATACTGAATATAAGTTTAATTTTTACCCTGTCATGGGCCTTTCCAGTCAGTCTGATTGTTCTAAGCAAATACTGACTTACTGGCTTATAAAGGTGAACTACAGACTCCTGCCCAAATTCAAAGCTGACTTCCAAAACAGGGTGCTACCTGCTTATTGCCTCCCCACCGCTTTCAGTTTTGCTGCCTTCTCTTACCTTGAATTCTCGGCTCTCGAACTTTGACTTTGATCCTCAACCTCCAGCCCTTTCATATTTGGCTTTTGTCATTGATTTTCTAGCATGTAGCCCCGTGGCTCTCTTCCTTGAGTGAAGACCAACTCTTACTGATAATGCTTGTATCTGCCATAACCTTGGGACAGCACCCATGACAGAGCCCTGGGAGCCTGTCCCCATTAGACAGTCACCAAAGTGTTAAGCCTTGTTTCTTTTATTAATAGTTGTTAAGCCTAAATCAGCCTTGTTAAGCCTAATTTAGTTGTTTCTCTCTGGAAATCTTCTGCTTTGCTATTATAGCTATTCTGCAGGTAACATAGGCAAACCAGCTCACCAAAACTCTGTAAATATGGTGTGCTGATACGATGGTGGGAATTTTTTTCTTTATTGAGATCAAGACTAGCTGGACTTGTGTCTATTCCTTTGCCTGTAAGCTTTACCTTACACGAGGCTGTATTTTCAAGTACATATTACAACACTTCCCTAGGAGCACCATGCCTCCTGCCTATAGCAAGTAAAACAAAAACAAAACCATCACTGCCAGCAAAAATAATCCTCCCAAAGACACTGCCCTTTGTAACTTGTTCCTTTTCCATGGGATTCTTGTCCTTAGTGCTATCAGAGAGGTGAGGGAAAGTTAAGGCTAGTAGTTTTCAGGGAAAAGAGAGGTAGAGGTAGGACCAGAGTCAACCAGCTTTTGGGGCCCTGCTTCTGATCAGCTTTTTCACTGCTGTGCATGGGGGAAGGGGAAATCAAGTCAAGGTGAAGGGTTAGGATTATTCTGGGGACAGCAGACCTGAGTGGGACACCTTGATGCAGGCTTCTTTAACGCAGAGTAGGACACAGATGGCTGGAGGAGGGCAGACAAGGACAAAGAGAAGTGTGAAAAAAGAGGGTCAAATGTGCTACCATTTTGCCAGTTAGACCAAGATAGGGATGGCTTAATCACCATAAAAATCATCATGTTGGCCATGCTGGCCTCAATGGTATAAGTCTTGGAGGGTTGTTGTTTTGAAGCTGCTGACACCCTCATGCAACGATCCTCCAAATGGACAATCTAGTAACTTTTTAGTTTTTTTTTCTTTTTTATACCCTTCTTATAGTTTGTGGACTTTGGTTTTCAGCTTCTCGATGGTCAAGAAGCAAAGAAACTCAATGTCCAGTGGCTCAGAGCTCAACTCGGAATCGTGTCTCAGGAGCCTATCCTATTTGACTGCAGCATTGCCGAGAATATTGCCTATGGAGACAACAGCCGGGTTGTATCACAGGATGAAATTGTGAGTGCAGCCAAAGCTGCCAACATACATCCTTTCATCGAGACGTTACCCCACGTAAGTTAAAGAGTAGCTGAAATCAGAAGAGACTACTTTTTATCCCCCAAACAATTACCAAAGTTATGCCAACAAAATCTTGTAACAAAATATGTTGATTTACTAACATTAACAACTTGGACAAGGCACTTCAGGATACCAAGCTTCCTTATTTGTAAATGGGAATACATTATGCCTACCTCATACAAATGTAGTGAGAAGCTCAAAACCACCATACTTCAGGTTACAGACTGGTGGTTGAGGGCTGCATTTAGACTGCAGTCATGTTTGGTTTAGCCCTATGGTACTTTTAAAACAATTATAGTTTTTATTTTGAGATAATTATGGATTTACATGTAATTGTAAGGAATACAGAGATCTTATGTACCCTTTACCTAGTTTCTGCCAATGACAATATCTTGCAAAACTAGTATACAGTATCACAAGCAGGATACTGATATTGATACACTCCACTCATCTTATTCAGACTTCCCTTGTTTTACTTGCATTCATTTGCATATGGATTTAGTTCTGTGCAGCTGTATTGCAGATGGGGATTCATAGATCCACTAATTAAGAACACTGGCCAGGCACGGTGGCTCACACCTGTAATCTCAGCACTTTGGGAGGCCAAGGTGGGTGGATTACGAGGTCAGGAGATTGAGACCATCCTGGCCAACATGGTGAAACCCTGTCTCTACTAAAAACACAAAAATCAACCAGGCGTCGTGGTGGGCACCTGTAGTTGCAGCTACTCAGGAGGCTGAGGCGGGAGAATCGCCTGAACCTGAGAAACGGAGGTTAAAGTGATCCAAGATCACACCATTGCACTCCAGCCTGGGCGACAGAGTGAGACTCCGTCTCAAAAAAAAAAAAAAAAAGATACAGAACATTCTCATCTCCATAAAGATCCCTCATATTGCCCTTTTAGAGCCATGCATATATCCCTTCCTCCCACCCTCATTCCTCTCAAACTCTGGCAAACATGAATCTGTTCTCCGTTTGTATAATTTTATATTTTAAAAATGTTTTATAAAAATATATACAGTATGTAAACTTTTGGGATTAACTTTTGTCTTTCAGCTAATTCCCTGAAGTTGTGTGTATTCATAGGCATTGCTTTTTATTACTGAGTGATATTCCACAGTGTGGATGTACCACAGTTTAACCATTCACCTGTTGAAGGATAGCTGGGTTATTTCCTGTTTCTGGCTATTGCAAATAAAGCTGCTGTAAATACTTGTATACAGGTTTCTGTATGAATTCAAGTTTTTATTTCTTTGGGATAAACACCCAGGAGTAGAATTGTGGAGCAGTATGGCAATTTCATGTTTAGTTTATAAGCCACTGCTAAACTGTTTTCCAGAGTGGCCATCCCATTTTACATTCCTACCAGCAATGTGTAAGTGATGTAGTTTCTCTGAATCTTTGCCAGCATTTACTGTTGTCATTAGTTTTTATTTTTACCACTCTGATAAGAGTGTAGTGATACATCACTGTGGCTTTAATATGCATTTCCCAATGGCAAATGATGTTGAACATAGTTTTTTATATGCTTATTTACCATCTATATATCCTCTTGGTGAAATGTCTCCATGTTGTTTGCCCATATTCTAATTGGATTTTTATCTTTTACTGCTGAGTTTTCAGAAGTTTTTTTTGTTTGTTTGTTTAACATATTGTAATTACTGTTGGATATGTAGTTTGTAAATGTTTTCTCCCAGTCTGTAGCTTGTTTATTCATCCTATAAGAAGGTCTTTGCAGAGCAAAAGTTTTACTTTTGATGAGGTCCAATTTACCAATTCTTCCTTTTATGGATTATGCTTTCAGTGTCAAGTCTAAGAACTCGTTGCCTAGCCCTAGGCCCAAAATATTTTCTCCATGTTTTTTTCTAAAAGTTTTATAGCTTTACATTTTAAATTTCAGTCCATGATCCATTTTTAGTTCACTTTAAACATGTGTAGCCCTGGAAGGATGGCTTGAGGTCCCTAAAAGTGATGGTAGGGACAATTCATTTTATGGCATTCTTCCAGCATTCGGGGTTCCACTGGGTTACACTGACGTAGAGCTTAATTATTTTTGCTTTTATTTTCTGCTATAGTTAGAAATCACTCACACCCACAAATAAAATTTTAAAACCCTTTCATTTTGGTTAGCCTTACCAACCTTTAATGCACATTGACCTGAATCAAATATTGGATTTGACTGTGAATAGAAAAATTTACAGCTTCAGCTCTTAATATAAGTGACCACTGGACCTTAGGAAATTAATTCACATGATATACATCACTGCATAAGCCCTGCAAACTGAACTGACTCAATTTACATCTCTATTCATATGCTCTTTCTCAGCCTAGAATGCTCTCTCAAAATCTAGCTCCCCAAACTTCTCTAAAAAGATTTCTTTCATTTATTTCCCCTTTTTTCTCCTTCTACCCTGTCTCCATAACAACTTCTATCTCCTTCTTCTGATCTTTCATAGTGTGCTGTGTATACTACTACAGTCCTGTGTTACATAACAACATTTTGGTCAATGACAGACTGCGTATACCACAGTGGTTCCCATAAGATTATAATGGAACTGAAAAATTCCTATTGCCTAGTGACATAGCTGTCATAATATCATAGTGCAACACAAAATTCAAGTATTTGTGGTGATGCTGGCATAACAAAGCGACTGCACTGCCAGTTGTATAAGAGTATAGCACATACTACTATGTACAGTGCATAATACTTGATAATGACAACAAATGACTTATTGATTCATATATCCGTTATAGCATTTGTTATTTTAGAGTATCCTCCTCCTATTTTAAAGAAAGTTAATTATAAGATAGCCTATTGTAGAATACCATTGAGAATTAAAGTCACTAGTTTTCTAGTTTGATTTTGAAAATAAACACTCTGTTAAGTTGAAACAACGTTATAGAAACTGTTATTGACTCTAAATGTTTTTCTTGTAAATAGAACTGTCAACTGTTAAGCAACAGTTCATTCAACATATTTATAATTTGGTTAACTTGCAGAAATATGAAACAAGAGTGGGAGATAAGGGGACTCAGCTCTCAGGAGGTCAAAAACAGAGGATTGCTATTGCCCGAGCCCTCATCAGACAACCTCAAATCCTCCTGTTGGATGAAGCTACATCAGCTCTGGATACTGAAAGTGAAAAGGTGTGTGTGGCCTCCCAACTTATGTCTTATTTAATTTATGAAATAGAAGGGATTTTGCTGTCAACCATGAAAAAAACACACACAAGCACAGGGGGAAAAACACAGAACGTTAGATAGTGGTTTTTATTTTTATTTTTTTGAGACGGGGTCTCGTTGTTGCCTAGGCTGTAGTGCAGTGGCGCAATCCAGCTCACTGCAACCTCTGCCTCCAGGGTTCAAGCGATTCTCTTGCCTCAACCTCCTGAGTAGCTGGGACTACAGGTGCCTGCCACTATGCCCAGCTAATTTTTGTATTTTTAGTAGAGACAGGGTTTCATTATGTTGGCCAGGCTGGTCTCGAATCCTGACCTTGTGATCCGCCTGCCTCGGCCTCCCAAAGTGCTGGGATTACAGGCGTGAGCCACCTTGCCCGGCTGATAGTGGTTATTTTGAAGTAATGGAATATTTTATTCTAAATTTTCTAAAATGATTATATATTTTATAAAGTAAAGCATTCAAAAGAAAAAAGCTGCACAAATTACATTTTTAGCACATTAGGAATGAAAAACTGGAAAATACTCAAAAGGGAACTAGTTAAACAGAAGATTAGAAAATTTAAATACTTATGAATTTTTTTACAGCATGGGAACCCATTTGTGTTATATTTAAAAAGCAGAACATAACTATGTAGATTAAATGTTGATTATACAAAATACACATGCATAAAGTTCAAAGATTCTAAGATACTAGAAATTAAAAGTTGATTAGAAAGGTAACATTTTCAAATTTACTTGAATGTTAAAACTAATTTATACAATTTTTGGGATAAGGTGTCTGTCTGATTTATCAATAGGTTGTCCAAGAAGCCCTGGACAAAGCCAGAGAAGGCCGCACCTGCATTGTGATTGCTCACCGCCTGTCCACCATCCAGAATGCAGACTTAATAGTGGTGTTTCAGAATGGGAGAGTCAAGGAGCATGGCACGCATCAGCAGCTGCTGGCACAGAAAGGCATCTATTTTTCAATGGTCAGTGTCCAGGCTGGGACACAGAACTTATGAACTTTTGCTACAGTATATTTTAAAAATAAATTCAAATTATTCTACCATTTTATCTGACTTGTAAAATAAGTTTCTGGTTTGTCATCATAAAACATAGGTATGTCTGTCTCATTCTAGATCAATTTAGAAGACCCAATTTGGGGTTTATTACGGCATTTGAAATTTGAGAGTTAGAAGTGACACCTGTCTTGATGAAGTATTGAAACAACAGGCTAGCTCTCCCTAAGTTATTAGAAACATCCAGAAAAAGAACAAAATTCAAGGTAAGTACAGGTGTAGAAATATAGAAGCCACAGACATAGGGAAATGGTCTTATGGTCCTGAATGGGTTGGGTAGACAGGAAAGTTTGGGAATAATTTTCCCAAGTACAAAAGAAAAATAAATTGTTCAATAGCCTCATCTCTCTTGGTAATTTTCTAAATCATTCTATTGTGGAATCAAAGTTTTTTAAATGAATGAATTTCCAGCTTTATCATCCAACATCAAGAGAAAATGAAATTGCCCTACCGAGCTAACTCTGAAAGCACATATCGGTTCCATAAAGCAAGAAAGAGCCCTATCATTAAGTATTTTTTTAAAGTTTTAAACTCATTAATTTAAAATGTACAATTATCAGTATAATTTCAAACATCAAACATCAATGATACATGCTGAGTTTCTATAGCAACTGCGTTCTCTTTTATAAATAGACTACTTTTCCCAGAAAATCCGTTTTTCCTACAATGAAAGGTATGTTTAGATGGAAAGCAAAAAATATAGACAACCCCTAGAAGCTAACCACACTGAAATGTTTCAATAATTTTCCCTTTGTTTTCTCCACAATTTTCTGCAACAAATTAGTTCTTAGCGCTCTATCAGGTTGTTAAATTCAGTAAATCATCCAAAGTTCTTCTAACTGTAATAAGCCATATTACCAAAGAATTTTTCAAATGTGACCACTGTGTGAGTGGATCAAGTTTCAGATTAACCAAGATAAAAGTGGGGCAAAAAGTACATTACTGCAGTGACCCAAAGTAGTGTTTGACCTATTCCTGTATAATGATACCCAAACTTGCCTGATCAGAATCATGGGGCATCTATTCGTAAACAAAATAATTGATTCAGTAGGTCTGGGTTGAGGCCCAGGAATCTGTTTTTTAAAATACACTCTAGGTGATTATTCACATCAGGCAAGTTAGGAAAAGTGGTGAAGTGTGAGTGAGAGGAGGTTTCTGTGCAGGTGATGCAGTCTCCAAAATACGCAACTCATTACACATTATAGGTTGAGTATTCTTATCTAAAATGCTTGGGATCAGAAGTGTTTCATATTTCAGAATATTTGCATTATACTCACTGGCTGAGCATCCCAAGTCCAGAAATCCTAAATGTTCCAATGAGCATTTCCTTATGTCAGCACTCAAAATGTTTTGGATTTTGGAGCATTTCTGGTGTTCAAATTTGGAATGTTCAACCTGTATTTATAAACCAACCAAATGATTCTAAATGTCCTCGCTATCTAGTTTAAAACCCTGCATTAGAATGAGGGGAAAAGGTTCTTAGTTCAGATCTCATCTTCCTTTTCTATACCAACTGTGAAGAAATGTATCAAATGCTACTGAAGCCAACTCTGAATGTTTTCACAGAGAAATAGTACTGATGCTTTTCAGGACAGAGGCTGGCACAGTGTAAAGGGCTTAATTGTTAGCAATAAACCAGTCTTATCAAATTCAGAGCGTACATGTTTCTTAAAAGGGATGTATAGAATCAGTACCCTGAGTATGATGTAATCTTTACATATATTAAAATGTCTGGCAGATTGCTATAGTACCCATAATCATGCCCTCTGTGCCCACTCTTTTACAAAGTGACTTTCTCTTATCAAGATATTACTTTTTCCCCACTCCTTGAATCTGGACTTCTCTTGTGACTTGGTTTAATCAACAAAATGCAGCCAGGTGATGGCATGTGACTTCAGGGCCTAGGCCTCAAGGGACCTTCACCTCTCAGAACACTCTCACTACCAAGTAAGGAAGCTCAATTCTGAATACTAGATGATCAGAGACCATGTCAGGAGAGACAGTCCCAGCCACCAAATTTACAGATAGTTGGTGAGGTGATCTTAAACTTTCCAGCCTCAGTCCTGGTTGCCTGATGATTATAGCTGTACAAATAAACACAGGCAAGATGAGCAGAAGAACTGTCTAGCTGTTATCAATCAACTGACAAAGTAATGAGAAACAATAAACTGATTCAAGACACTAAGTTTTGGATGGTTAATTACACAGCAATATATAACTGAGGTCAAAAAGCACCAGAAAAGCAAACAGGAATGAATCATTTATTCAAACAAAACAAAAAGCTATATAATTTTGAGAATTTCATTTTTTGAGAGTAAAAACTACAAAATTGAACAGCGAGGAGGAAAAAATTCTGACAATGTGATTCAACATTAATCCTTTAAAAGTCACTGTAACAAATTTAAACATAAGTGCTTTATTTTTCTATTCACAAAACTAATTATAATACACCACAATGAATTTTGTTACGGTTTTATGTGTGTAATAGAGGGTATACATCTCCATACTACTAGCTAATTTGTCTGTTTGTTCAAAAGAGTTATTTTTCTCTTTTTTTCTTCTTTGAGACAGGGTCTCACGCTCTTGCCCAGGCTATAGCATAAGGGCACATCACAGCTCACTGCAGCCACAACCTCCTGGGCTCAACCGATCCTCCTGTCTCAGCCTTCAAGTAGCTTGGACTACAGGCACACATGCACCACCATACCCGGCTAAGTTTTTGATCTTGTAGAGACAGGACCTTACCCTGTTGCCCAGGCTGGTCTCAAACTCCTAGCTTCAAGCAATCCTCCTACCTTGGCCTCCCAAAGTGCTAAGATTATAGGCATGAGCCACTGCACCCAGCCCAAAAAAGTTATTTTAGATCACCATTAGATTGTAGTGGTCTTTCCCATCAAACATAACAGGCTTGTATCCCTGTGGTGAACATAGAAGGCATTGATTTCAGGGAAATTAGCATACAATAATGTAATTCATACCCTTTGGCAGCTAAAAAAATTAAAGTGCTTGAAAGATGGACTCTACATTGATGTCCAGAGAGAGGATTTATAACCCATGTAAGTACCAACAAAAATACTTAAAAATTAGAGTAAGACTTGCATTGTTAAAGTTTGTAGATTTGGATTGTTGAGGCTTAAATACTGCATAGTTCTATATTCACTATGTCATAATTTGCATTGCTGCTGCATCAGAGGAGCTTAAAAATATTTCTACCTTCTATGGCAGAATAAATTTAGAGAGCATGATTCTACTAATTTCTACATTTAACAAGTTTTCTTAACTTGTTAAAGGAATGTTAGCAAGTCAACATTCCTTCCCATCTCATATTACCAACTCACTCCCAGCACTCAGTTTAATGATATGTTTTGGTAAGTGCTTAATAGATGATTCATCTCTAAAGATGAGTAGAGTTCATCAGCTGTATCATATCATGAAAAGCACAAAAAGTCAGCTGAACTAGCTTTTCCGCATCAGTCTCGGGACAGGATTTCCAGGCTGAACAGGCCACAACAAACCTGTGAAGCATAAATAATGATTAATGATTACACAAAAGGCTCCAAATAGTGATGGTGAATACAACCAGGACTTTATTTCATCTGGATATTCATACATGAAATGTGAAGTCTTGCTGACATTAGGTAAATGTAACCTGACACAATTGAAGGTAAAGCCATATCTGTAGATAATGCTAAGAAACACCTCATTCATTAGATGACTAGCACCTAGGGACAAAGGGGAACAAATTAGCTAGAGCCCTAGAGTGCTCTGAAGCTAGGTCTTACTGCGTTTAAAACAGAACAAAAAACCTCCTTCCTAGAAAAGTCCTTCCTAAAGTGCTACTGGAATGAGTTGGAATATGAATTCATGCTACAGTTTTTAATGAAATTTAAACTGTTTTTAAAGAGTACTTGAAGAAAGTTTGAAAAAAAAAAAAAGGCAGAGAAGGATGATAGGTGAGAAAGGCTATTTCTAGGAGTCAAAAAGAGAAACTCTTGGGATCAAGTCATGCCTTCCACCATCTTTCTCGAGATACTCCTAATAAGAAATCCCAGATCTGGCAAGTGAGAAAAGTGGCCCTGGGAAGCTGAAATAAATAGGAGAGAAGCCTGACTTAGAGCTAGTCTTCCACTTTACAGACAGAAGTTTCTATAGCGAAATATGAATTAGGCTCAAAATTAAAATGTGCAATGTAATGCTTCTGGAAAACCATGCAATTTTCACATCACTTAAAAAAAGAGTAAATTATGTCTTCAACATGTGCTTTAAGTTAAACAAAGAGAAATAAAAATAAGAACATGCTCTAGCCCAGTATATAATGATGAAACCAATGTCTGAGTGGATTATATTTGCAGAAAAGTAATACAGAAACCTTTAGGAAGTCCTGCCTTGTTTTCACCTCGTGATTCATGATCACGAATCATTCTCCAGCTACACTTGGCATGGAATTCCCAGATATTTAGCAGCATCTAAACATGTTTCTCTCCACAGATTAACCATTCTTATTCAAGTGTCAATTTTTTAAAAAAATTTCAGTTATCTTTCTAAAGAACAGCCTTTCCTACATGTACAGACAATTCATGAAAGAAACACAATGCCAAAAACAATGAAAACATGTTTTACTTCATAGGTAAACAAGTAATTTATGTTATTTTTTGCCTGTCAAATGAGTAAATACTTTTTTTTTTTTTGAGAAAGAGTCTCACTCTGTTGCCCAGACTGGAGTGCAGTGGCATGATCTCAGCTCACTGCAACCTCCATCTCCCAGTGTGAAGCAATTCTCGTGCCTCAGGTTCCCAAGTAACTCAGACTACAGGTGTGTGCTACCACACCAGCTAATTTTTGTATTTTTAGTAGAAATGGGGTTTCACCATGTTGGCCAGACTGGTCTTGAACTCCTGGCCTCAAGTGATCTAGTGTAATCCCTCCCAAAGTGCTGGGATTACAGGCGTGAGCCACCATGCCTAGCCTACAGAATTTTTATAATAACTAGAGTTGGCAATGGTGTGATGAAATGAGAAAGGATACGTTTATAACCTTATACATTATTTGTAATGATGGAAAAACAAAATAGTAGAGAAGCAGTTAGATAAATCATAGGAATCCTAAGACTGGAAATTATACAACCATCAAAATATCTCAAAGCATACTTAATAGCATTGTAAACTGCTTGAAATAATAAGCAAGAATGAAATTCACAAAAAAGGACACAAATATTTACAGTGTAAATATACAGTCTACATACATTATAGGTTGGGAGCATCATATAATTATAGTCTTATGCCATGTAATGGAAATGTAGATAACTTTGTTCTTATGTAGTTTTTATATTTAACAACTTTTTTTTTTTTACAATCAGCATGTAATACATTTAAAATGCAGTGGTCTAGTCTTGGGGTAGAAGAGATGAAAGAAGAGGCAGGGGAGGCTGGCACACTCAGTGTAACTTTATGTAAATACATTGTAATTTCTATCTTTTTGCTTTTTCATTTCTCTAAAAATGTTTCTATACTGTACCAACCCTTGCCCCACTTGCTTTAGTTTCAATGCTCCTATCATAGAAGGGTCCAGTGCATGTCATAAAAGCCATCAAAAACAGTCTTGAATAATCAGAACGCTTCTGTGAGATTATCTAACATCAGTTCTGGCACTGCTTCTACTATGTCTTCCTCCTCGTCATTTGGCTCTGGTTCAGAAGCACTCATCTCCTTCAAGTCACCTTCTGTTAATTCCTCTGGTGTGGTGACTATTAGTGCGTGATTTTTCAAATTTTTTAATAGAGATGAGGTCTTACTATATTGCTCAGGATGGTCTCAAACTCCTGGCCTCAAGCAATCTTCCCACCTTGGCCTTCCAAACTGCTGGAAACACAGGCATGAGCCACTGAAACTGGCCCAACATCCATACCTTGAAATCCTTCACCCTCCACTTTTTTTTGCCATATCGACAATCTCTTTCATGATTTCCTAGACTGGCTCTGTCGTAAATCCTGTGAAATCATGTACATCTGGACATAGTTTTCTCTAGTAGAAATTTATTGTTTTGGGCTTGACTGCTTTCATGACTTCTTCTTAACAACAATGGCATCTTCAATGGTGTAATCCTTCCAGACTTTCATGATGTTCTCTTCCATTGGGGTAAAAGACAATCCTTGGTGACAATCCTTTCTATTGAGTCCTGCATGTAATGAGCCTTAAAGGTCCTTATAACCCCCGATCTAGAGCCTGAATTAGAGACATGTCTGGGGGCAAGTAGACCATTTTGACACCTTGGGTGTTTAAATCATGGGGTTCTGGGTGGCCAGGGTCACTGTCCAAAATCAAAACAACTTTAAAAGGCTAGGTACTTCCTGACTTCAGTGACAAAACATCAAAGAAACCAGTCCAGAAAAAAAGGTTATCATTGGTCCAGGCCTTCTTGTAAACTAGCAGCTGATGTTTATCTTTTCCCTTCAAGGCTCAAAGTTAACAGCTTTACAGACAAAGGCAGTCCTGATCATAAACCCTACTGCATTTGCACAAAACAGTAGTGTTGGCCTATCCCTTTCTGCCTTAAAGCCTGATGCTTGCTTCTTGTGATGGTTAATACTGAGTGTCAACTTGGTTTGATTGAAGGATGCAAAGTATTGATCCTGGGTGTGTCTGAGACAGTGTTGCCAAAGGAGATTAACATTTGAGTCAGTGGGCTGGGAAAGTCAGACCCACCGTTAATCTGGGAGGGCACCATCTAATCAGCTGCCAGCACAGCCAGAATATAAAGCAGGCAGAAAAACCTGAAAAGACTAGACTGGCTTAGCCTCCCAGCCTACATCTTTCTCCTGTGCTAGATGCTTCCTGGCCTTGAACGTTGGACTCTAACTTCTTCAGCTGTGGGACTCAAACTGGCTTTCTTGCCCCTCAGCTTGCAGCTGGCCTATTGTGGGACCTTGTGATCGTGTGAGTTAATGCTTCTTACATACTTCTTAAATATCCTATTAGTTCTGTCCCTGTAGAGAACCCTGACTAATACACTTCTCTTCCTTACTAACAAATGTCCTTTGTGGCATTTTTTTTTTCAGAATAGGGCACATTTGTCTGCATTAAAAATCTGTTCAGGCAGATATCCTTTGTCCTCAGTGATTTTCTTGATGGTGTCTGGGAACTTGTCTGCTGCCTCTACTTCTCCTGTTATCTTGACATTTTTAAAGCCAAACCTCTTTCTAAAATTATCAAACTATCCTTTGCTGGCATTAAATTCTCCAGCTTCAGATCCTTCACCTTCCTGTAAAGTTGTCATATAATAACTTCGCTTTTTCTAGAATCATAGTAGAGTCTATAGGTATGCCTTTTTATAGCAAGAAAGGCATTTTTTTTGCTATAAAAAATATAGCACCCACCAAAAAGCTGCATTTTTAATTGGAGATCAAAAGGCATTTTGCAAACGGCAAAGTTTTAATGCCTGCCAGTGTAGCTGCAGCAATAGCTTCACAAATTTCCTTTTTTTTTTTAAATAGTACTTATACTAGATTTATTTATGTTGAAATGATGGGCAAATGCAGCTACAGATCTCAATCTATGATACTTATCAAGCAAATCAACTCTTTCTTGTAATGTCATGACTTTTCTCTGCTTCTTGGGAGCACTTGCAGTATCACTAGAAGCACTACATGTGGGTCCCATGGTATTATTCAATGTTTACAATACTGTACTACCCACAATGAAAAATACATGAGAATAAACCACGAAAGATCACTTTTTGTGATCTGCTAAAGAGACAAACTGCTTCTGCAGAGATGATTAGCATTATGTGACATCTTAAGGAGATACTTGCAACTCTTTAGCTCACCACAGTAGCAACATGAGGTAGCTACAAAATTATTATAGTAGTACAGTGTGTACCACAGTTAATTTAATGCAATTATGATTGAAAACTGCATCTTTACATTTGTTTACATTTCTCTTGACTGCAAATGGCACCATATAAAGTCTGTAAGGGCTTATGTTCATATATTTTGATAAATTTCAACTTTGTATAGTAGATTTGTGTATATTTTATGGTAGTAAATGATGAAATAGACTAGTATCTGTATATATTTTATGCATTCATGAATACTTTAGTTTTTGAATATTTCTACACTACACAGTTTTGAGTTTTTTCAAATTGTCTCAATCTCCAAAAAATTTTCTCATTTATTTAAAATCTGCATGTAAGTGTGCCCATGCAGTTCAAACCCATGTTGTTCAAGGGTCAGTTGTATTAGAAACTGAAATATGTCATGCATATTACTATTCCAATTTTTCACATTCTATCTGAAGTGCCTCCAAGCCTGCCCTCTTCTTATTCACATAGTGCTAAATGTAGTCACGTAATTTTTATGAAGCCAACTATGCTTTGAAAAGCCCCTGTAAAGAGACTGCCAGACTGTAGATAAGGACCTTACAAGCCTTGCTATCACTTTCATTTTATCTTGTTCTCCACTACTCTTTTTTATACCAGGTTTTGATCTTTTCTTTCTCATTCTTTCCATAAACATAAGTCAAACTCCACACAGCCCAAGTGAACTGCATCTGAATTGGTAAAACTGTTTTAAAAAGTATAATTTACCCAATCTCTTTTCTCTATCTCATTAATATTGTCTATGACTACATGAACCACCATATATTTAAACATTTTATCTGAGCTTATTATAAAATACCTTGTACAAACCAAATATGTTCATGGGTGTACTGATTTTGAGGATGATGATATGATTGCCGAATCGACTTGAAACAGTGTTCTGCATAAAGACACCTAAGGGACTAATCTGACAAGTGTCTCAAAAGCAGGACAGAGAAACATGAATATGCATTAAATGCCTAAGTGGAAAAAAATAGTTACTTATGTAGCAAGTGACAGATGGCAATATAAGAATCACAGTGTAGGAAAGGCATTTAAAAACAAAAGTAATACCTTTCCTACTCTATAGCACAGAAAGAATAAAAAAGAGAAGCCTCACCTGTCATCTCTGATATGGTAGAAAAATCCATAACCATTGTGTACCATGGGAACTACCACTCCCTGGACTCGTAAATAGCCAACCAGACTTGTTGAGAGAACAAAATTTCCACCTCCTCCGCTGTGTGGCACAATAAAAGAACATTTTACTAGGCCTACAGATGCTTATATTGTTTCTAAAAACCATTTAATATACAAAAAGAGGAAGCCAATTGATGAAGCTGTAAAACACTACACTATATTACCTTTTGGAAAAAAGTGGGTCCGTAAAGAGTTCTGGAACAGGAAGACCTTCCTCTTTTGCTATGAGTAAGAGACCTAAAAGGTGACGATCAAATCCTGCAATGAAACCCCAAATCTCAGGTTAGAAAAAAATTTTTCACCATGAGAGATTTTTAAGTCAGAAAAATTTTAACTTAAGTACCTTTTCCAGCTGAACAATCTTTCATCATTTTATTATGCTTTGCAAAAGCTTGTAACATCTTTTGCTGCCGCTCACGAAGCTGTATTAAAAATCGAGAGACACTTCAATAACACACTGTGCAAAACCCAACTAGAAAAAAATCCTAAGCTCATTGTAATTAGGATTGGGGTAATTTGGGAGAGGAAAGATTTCTAGGAAGATCTATAACACATACTCCTATATCTTTCCATCAGTTATTCTATCGCCTAGTCTTCCCTGTATATCCTGCTTCTTATTTCTTTCCTGGAATAGGAAACTATGAACTTGTGGGCAGCACTGAAGTGACACTAACAAGTATAAAGATAAAAGCAACCGATATTTCAAAAATGAAAGCATAACTAAAAATGACAATAAAGCAGTTCTATAAAATTAAGATACAGGCACTCATATATAACCACATCTAGCAAAACTAAAGAAACAAATATAATACTAAAATAACAGTGAGAAGGAAATTTGCTGTTGTCTAAATGCTTCAAAAAAAAGAGTATGAAACAAAGCATACAACTGTCCTGGTTCCACTATATGAAACAAGAATCTGTCATTTCAAAAACATTCAACCACATCAAGAAAACCTTCCTTTTAAAGGCACCTTGGGATTTCTGCACTTTGTTGGTGTTGTTCTAAAGGTAGATTAGAAGTCCTGAAATACCTAAAGTACTGAAGACCCTTTGCCTAGAAAATAACACAAATGGGATCCTTTTCCTGCCTTCCCTGTTTCCAATTACACATTTCACTGGTGAATGAACAAATGCTTTAAAAACCTCAGAAAAGATGTCTCAAAGTATTTTAATGATCCAGGAAAACTGAAGCAAAGAAGTTAGTTACTCAAAGACCACGGTTCCTTTAGAACAATTAAACAAATCTTGTGAGTTTTTTTCCTTTCCAATACTCACATTGACAGAAGGATCCTGCATGGACTGGCACCACCTCACTGCTTCAACTGTGCATGATCGCATAGTCTCTGTACGGCCATGATAAAAATGTCTTGTCATAGCTGTTTCATAGCAACAACCAGGGCTACAAGAAAAAATTAAAAGAGTGTATCATAAGAAAGAAAATGCTCTAATATCATTACAGATATAGTTGCCTAATAAAGCTAGCTTTGTTCAGAGACTAAGCCCTTTAACACAGATAGGTTGGAGACTTTCAACAAAAAAGAGCCTATTTCCAATACCAAAGAGCAAAAAATACTCTGATAATGTGGGCTGTTTCAAAGGCGTGGCTGCTGTCAGGTCATATACATTACAGCCTCTAAGATGGCCCCCGTGATTCCTGCCTCCTGCTATTTATGCTCTGCTGTAACCCCTCACTTTTGAGCGCAGGCTAGACAGTGACTTGCATCTAATGGGGAGAGTACAGCACAAGTGATGGGATATCACATCTGCAATTAGGTTACAAAGAGAGCTCTCTCTTGTTCTCTTATTTCTCATCTGAAGAAAGCCAGCTGCCATGCTGAGGGCTGCCCGATGGAGAGGCCCTAGCGGCAGAAAACTGAGGGTGACCCTCTGGACAACAGCTAGGGAGGAACTGAATGCTACTAGTTCCCGTGGGTGAGCTGAGAAGTGGACCTACCCTCAGGAGAGCAGATGAAAACAGCCTTGGCTGATACTGACTACAACCTCATGAAAAACCTTTATTAAGTCAGAGTTACTCAACTAAGCTGCATCACAAAAAATGACCCACAAAATTGTGATATAAAATTACTGACCCACAAAATATGTGATATAAAATTACTGACCCACAAAATGTGTGATATAAAAAAGTATGTGTTTTAAGCCACTACGTTTTGGGGTAATTTATTACACAGAAATAGGTAATACAGAGTCCTTGACCTTTAGTGCCTCCATATAGAACATGAAGGACTAGAATAAAGTAGAAGTATAATTTAAGAAGTTCCCCAGGGTGATATCTGTTTTCCTGGGTTGGAGAATGATATAGCAATTTTAGGTATAAAACTCTCTTACTTTCTTATTGGTTAGAATTTAGAGTCAAAGAGATCAAATAAAGTGAGAGTGAAAAGTCTCTGAATGTGGGTACTAGGAGGGCTCAAACAGTTTTCAAGCCTCTTCTGTTCAGTGTTTCTGTCTCTCTGGAGTGAAATGGTATCCCTTCAAAGTGTGAAGGAGAAAGTGTGAATAATATTTTTAAATAGCACTAAAATAACATTCTTTCAGGAAAACAAATTAAAAATAAAAGCAGTAAAAATGAGTAATAAAATATTACCACTGTAACCTCAAATGAAATAATGAACCTTAGCAATGATCTTCAATGACTACTGAAACGTTAGGTAAAAAATTCAGGGAGTAAACTTTTTATAATAGATGCTGGCTGACAAGTAAACACACTCTTAATCTTAAAAGATGGAGTAGAAAGCAAAGAGCATTAACTATTGGATTTATTATTGTAAAACATAACCAAAATAGGAACTGATGCATATTATCAATCCTCTAGCTCTAACTACCAGTTTACAAGACATACAGGAGACTGAGCAACATGTTAAATATCACCATGGGAATACAATCAGGAAAATTCAGAAAACTCTACAGGATAAATGACCCAGTTTCTTCATCAAATCAAATACAATAAGAGAAAGGTAGGAAAAAGATTCCCATATTTAAAAAAGACTTATAAGGTATATCAATCAAATGCAATGTGTAAAATTTATTTGGAACCTGATTTGAACATATCTTCTATATAAAAAAAAAATACCGCGTGAAATTTCCAATGCCAGCTATGATGAGCTAGTTTCTGGCAAGCCAGTCTTAATGCTAGGAACAACAACAAAAACTGGATTTAAAAAACATCTATTTGAAGGCTTTGCAGAATTTTTTTTATTATACTTTAAAGTTCTGGGATACATGTGCAGAATGTGCAGGTTTATTACATAGGTATACATGTGCCATGATGGTTTGCTGCACCCATCAACCCATCATCTACATTAGGCATTTCTCCTAATGCTATCCCTCCCCTAGCCCCCCACCCCATGACAGCCCCCGGTGTGTGATGTTCCCTTCCTGTGTCCATGTATTCTCATTGTTCAACTCCCACTTATGAGTGAGAACATGTGGTGTTTGGTTTTCTGTTCCTGTGTTAGTTTGTTGAGAATGATGGTTTCCAGCTTCATCCATGTCCCTGCAAAGGACATGAACTCATCCTCTTTTATGGCTGCATAGTATTCCATGGTGTATATGTGCCACATTTTCTTTATCTAGTCTATCATTGATGGGCACTTAGGTTGGTTCCAAGTCTTTGCTATTGTGAACAGGGCTGCAATATACATATGTGTGCATGTATCTTTATAGTAGAAAGATTTATAATCCTTTGGGTATATATCTAGCAATGGGATCGCTGGATCAAATGGTATTTCTGGTTCTAGATCCTTGAGGAATCGCCACACTGTCTTCTGCAATGGTTGAACTAATTTACACTCCCACCAACAGTGTAAAAGCATTCCTATTTCTCCACATCCTCTCCAGCATCTGTTGTTTCCTGACTTTTTAATGATCGCCATTCTAACTGGCATAAGATGGTATCTCATTGTGATTTTGATTTGCATTTCTCTAATGACTAGTGATGATGAGCTTTTTTTCATTTGTTTGTTGGCCACATAAATGTCTTCTTTTGAGAAGTGTCTGTTCACATCTTTTGCCCACTTTTTGATGGGGTTGTTTTTTTCTTGTAAATTTGTTTAAGTTCCTTGTAGATTCTGGATATTAGCCCTTTGTCAGGTGGTTAGATTGCAAAAATTTTCTCCCATTCTGTAGGTTGCCTGTTCACTCTGATGATAGTTTCATTTGCTGTGCAGAAGCTCTTTAGTTTAATTAGATCCCATTTGTCAATTTTGGCTTTTGTTGCCATTGATTTTGTTGTTTTAGTCATGAAGTCTTTGCCCATGCCTATGTCCTGAATGATATTGCCTAGGTTTTCTTCTAGAGTTTTTATGGGTTTAGGTCTTATGTTTAAGTCTTTAATCCATCTTGAGTTAATTTTTGTATAAGGTATAAGGAAGGGGTCCAGTTTCAGTTTTCTGCAAATGGCTAGCCAGTTTTCCCAACATCGTTTATTAAATAGGGAATCCTTTCCCCATTGCTTGTTTTTCTCAGGTTTGTTACAGATCAGATGGTTGTAGATGTGTGGTGTTATTTCTAAGGCCTCTGTTCTGTTCCATTGGTCTATATATCTGTGTTGGTACCAGTAACATGCTGTTTTGGTTACTGTAGCCTTGTAGTACAGTTTGAAGTCAGGTAGCATGATACCTCCAGTTTTTTTCTTTTTGCTTAGGATTGTTTTGGCTATACAGGCTCTTTTTTGGTTCCATATGAAATTTAAAGTAGTTTTTTTTTAATTTTCTGAAGAAAGTCAGTAGTAGCTTGATGGAGATAGCATCGAATCTATAAATTACTTGGGGCAACTGTTAGAGCAGCCAGGATATGAGGGTCAAGATCTGGAGAGAAGAGCAGCTCTTTGAAGTGAGGTACCTTGGAGTCTTGGCTCCAGGCCTGTTTCTCTGTGCAGTCTTGGAGGAAGTCCCATCTGTCTAGGGACCTGGAAGGTATCACACCCACCTGCTCCCCAGTAATAGACCCACCAAAACTGTGCATTTGACTGTGGACACAGAAGCAGCCCTTTAACCCAGCTCCAGTCCTACTCAATGGTGCCAAAGTCTTGCTCTGTCGCCCAGGCTGGAGTGCAGTGGCATGATCTTGGGTCACTGCAACCTCTACCTCCTGGGTGCAAGCAATTCTCCTATCTCAGCCTCCTGAGTAGCTGGAATTACAGGCATGCACCACAATACCCAGCTAATTTTTGTATTTTCCATAGAGATGGGGTTTTACCATGTTGGCCAGGCTAGTCTCGAACTCCTGACCTCAAGTGATCTGCCTGCCTCAGCCTCCCAAAGTGCTGGGTTTACAGGTGTGAGCCACCATGCCCAGCCTCCTTATGATTTTTCTTAACAAAAATTTCCTTTCTCTAGTTTACTTTATTGTAAGAATACAATATATAATACATATACAAAATGTGTGTTAATTGTTTATGTTATTGGTAAGACTTCTGGTCACACACTTGGATTTTCTAATGCACTGGGGGCTTGGGGACCCCTAACCTCCATGATGTTGAAGGGTCAACTGTACAAAAAAAAAAAGTATAGCTCATGTTGGAAATAAAATGAAGCAATTTTTTTAAAGCTCTAAAAATTCAAAAGAAAAAGAAAAAAGTACAGATGGGATAACTAGAAAATAAAGAGCAAGATGGTAGACTTAAACACAAATTTACTGATAATTATACTGAATTTAATTATCTAAATAACATATTTAAAGACAGATATTCTCAGACTAGATAAAAAAGCAAAACTGAGAGGAGTCATGTTACCATAATGGCAGAGTAGAAGCAATCTGGCTTCACTCTTCCCCACAGAAAACCAAAACAACTATCTAGTACCAATTATCCTCAGGAGTATCCCAGAAACCAAAATGGAGGCTGTGATGATCCCAGGGGCCAGAGAGAAGCAAAAAACTTCAAGCAGAAGGTAAGAGAAACAGACCACTCTATCCACAACACCCCGCCCTCAAGCTGCCAGGCCGCATGTGGAAAAACTCCCATGGACTCACAATACTACACTGAAAGAAGTGAGATCAAGGCAGACAGACACCCTTATCTCCATGCTGGGTTCCTTCACAGAAAAATCATTCCTGCTTCAACCTAAGGGAAGCATCTTTGCCTATAGGGTAAAAAAATCCTAAAGGCAGCCAGAGACAATGGGTAGAGATGGGGTTAGCAATCCCCAATGAACAAAACTCAGTGATCACTCTTCATCTCAGCCAAAAAAGACACCAAATCAAAGAGGTTGTTCAGCAGTGTTACGGTGTAGGAAGCACGCTCCATGAGTCCATGAGGCTATAAAGCCCTAGCCAGCCTTCCCACACAGCCAGGGTATCCTTTCGTTGCAGACACTCCAAGTCCACAACAGTAAGCAATCTGAACTTTTACAAGAGCTCCAAAAGTCAATTTTTTGACAAGATAAACAATATTGACAAATCTGTAGGTAGAATAAGGAAAAAGGAAAAGACTCAAATAAATAAATTCAGAGATGAAAGGAGATATGGTAACCAATACCACAGAAATATAAAGGATCATTAGACACTATTATGAGTAACTATATGCCAACAAATTGGAAAACCTAGAAGGAATGGATAAATTCCTGGACACATACAACCTGAGATTGAAACATAAAGACATAGAAAACCCAAACAGACCAATAACAAGTAATATGATTGAAGCAATAAAAAGTCTCCCATTAAGCAAAAGCTTAGGACCTGATGGCTTCACTGCTGAATTCTAATAAACCTTTAAAAAAAGAACTAATACCAATTATACTCAAACTATTCCAAAAAATTGAAGAGGGCAGAATATTTTCAATCTCATTCTATGAAGACAGCATTATCCTAATACCAAAACCAGAAAAGGACACAACTAAAGAAGTAAACTACAGAGCAGTATCCCAGATGAACACAGATGCAGAAATCCTCAACAAAATACTAGCAAACTGAACTCAACAGCACATTAAAAAGATCACTCACCATGATTAAGTGGGATTCAGATGGTTCAACATATGCAAATTAATAAGCATGATATATCACATCAACAGAATAAAGGACAAAAACCCTATAATCATTTCAATAGATGCTGAAAAGCATTTGATAAAATTAAACATACCTTCATGATAAAAAAAATTTTCAACAAACTCAGTAAAGAAGAAATATACATCAAAACAATAAAAGCCACATATGACAAATCCAGAGCTAACATCATACTGAACATGGAAAAATTGCAAGACTTTCCTCTAAGATCTAGAACATGACAAAGATGCCTACTTTCACCACTTTTATGCAACATAGTATTGGAAGTCCTAGCCAAAGCAATTAGAAAAGAGAATGAAATAAAGAGCACTCAAATTGCAAAGGAAAAAGTCAAATTGTCCTGTCTGCAGATGACATGATCTAATACTTAAGACACCAACAAACAGCCATTAGAGTGATAAACAAATTCAGTAAAGTTGCAAGATATAAAATCAACATATTAAAATCAGTAGCATTTCTATATGCAAAAAGCAAACAATCTGAAAAACAAATCAAGAAAGCAATCCCATTTACAATAGCTACAAAGAATATAAAATACCTAGGAATCAACTGAACCAAAAAAGTAAAAAAATCAATACAAGGAAGACTATAAGACACTGATGAAAGTGAGAGAACACCAAAAAATGGAAAGACAACCTATGTTCATTAATTAGAAGAATTAATATTGTTAAAATGTCCATCCTACCCAAAGCAATCTACATATTCAATGCAATTCCTATCAAAATACCAACAATATTCTTCACAAAAATAGGAAAAAAAAATCCAAAAATTCATATGGAACCACAAAAGACCCAGAATAGCCAATGCAATACCAGGGGAAAAAAAAAAAAGCTTGAGGTATCACATTACCAAACTTCAAAATATACCGCCAAACTATAGTAACCAAAACAGCATGTTACTGGCATAAAAACAGACATACAGACCAATGGAACAGAATAGAGAACCCAGAAATAAATCCGTGTATTTACAGGCATCTCCTTTTCAGCAAAGGAAAGGACAGGCTCTTCAATAAATGGCTCCATGAAAACTGGATATCCATATGCAGAAGAATGAAACTGGACCACTATCTCTTACCGTGTACAAAATTCAAATCAAAATGGATTAAAGGCTTAAATATAAGACCTGAAACTATAAAACTACTAAAAGAAAACATTGAGGATGCTCTGTAAGACACTGAACTGGGCAAATATTTCTTGAGTAATACCCTACAAGTATGGAAGCCAAAGCAGAAATGGACGAATGGGATCATATGAAGTTAAAAAGCTTCTGCACTGCAGAGGAAACAATCAGCAGCCCACAGAATGGGAGAAAATATCTGCAAACTATCCATCTCCCAAGAAATTAATAATCAGAATATATAAGGAACTTAAAAAACTCAATAGCAACACACAAATTTATCTGATCTAAAATGGACAAATAATCTTTTTTGTTGTTGTTAGACAGTGTCTTGCTCTGTCGCCCAGGCTGGAGTGCAGTGGCACGATCTCAGCTCACTGCAACCTCTGCCTCCCAGGTTCAAGGGATTCTCGTGCCTCAGCCTCCTGAGTAGGTAGAGGTACAGATATGTGCCCCTACATCAGGCTAATTTTTGTATTTTTAGTAGAGACAGGGTTTCGCTATGTTGGCCAGGCTGGTCTCAAACTCCTGACCTCAGGTGATCTGCCCACCTCGGCCTCCCAAATTGCTGGGACTACAGGTGTGAGCCATGCGCCCAGTGACAAATGATCTTAATAGACATTTCTCAAAAGAAGACATACAAACAGCCAACAAGTATATGAAAAATGCTCAACATCACTAATCATCGGGAAATGCAAATTAAAACTACAATGAGACATCACCTCACCCTAGTTAAAAATCACTTTTATCAAAAAGATAGGCAATAACAGATGCTAGCAAAGATGTGGAGAAAAGGGAACCCTCATACATTGTTGGTGGAAATGTAAATTAGTACAGCCACTATGGCGAACAGTCTGAAAGTGCCTCACAAAACTAAAAAAAAAAGAACTACCCTACAATCTGATGATCCCACTGCTAGGTATATATCCAAGAGAAAGGAAATCAATATATCAAAGAGATAGCCACACTCCAATGTTTATTGCAGCACTATTCACAATAGTCAAGATATAGAATCAACCTAAGTGTCCAGCAGATGTATGGATAAAGAAAATGTGGGCCGGGCGTGGTGGCTCACACCTCTAATCCCAGCACTTTGGGAGGCCAAGGCACGCAGATCACCTGAGCTCAGGAGTTAGAGACCAGCCTGGCCAACACGACGAAACCCCATCTCTACTAAAACTATAAAAATTAGCCAGGCATGGTGGCAGGCACCTGTAATCCCAGCTACTCAGGAGGCTGAGGCAGGGAGAATTGCTTGAACCCAGGAGGTAGAGGTTGCAGGGAACCAAGACCATGCCACTGCACTCCAACCTGGGCGACAGAGCAAGACTCTGACTCAAAAAAAAAAAAAAAAGTGATATACATACACAATGGAATATTACTCAGCCAAAATAAAAAAACAAAGAATGAAATCCCTTCATTTGCAGCAACATGGGTAAGGCTGGATAACTTTTTGTTAAGTGAAATAATCCAGAAATAGAAAGACAAATACTGCAGGTTCTCACCTATATATGGGAGTTAAAAAAAATTGATCTCGTGGAAGTAGACAGTAAAATGGTGGTTAACAGAGATTGGGATGAGTAGGGGGGAGAGGAGATTGAAGAGAAGTTAGCTAATGGGTATAATGGTACAGTTAGATGGAATAACTTCTAGTGTTCGATAGCACAGTAGGTTGACTATAGTTAACAATAATTTGTTGTATATTTCAAAATACCAAGAAGAGAAGACTTGGAACATTCCCCACACGAAGACGTAATAAATGGTTGAGGCAGTGGACATCCCAATTACCGTGATTTGACCATTACACATTTTATGCATGTATCAAAAAAATCACATGTACCTGATAAATATGTTCAATTATAACTTATTTATCAATGAAAAAGCAACATTGAGGGACTTCTACTTCTTCTTAGGATGTATTAAGTCACAAAATTAATGTCGCTCCTATTCTAAAAATGAGTAAAGGCTGGATAATTTATAAAATCACAACTTTTCATGAACCCATCAGAAAACTGACGTTGCAAGAAAACCAAGCGATCTGAATGCCAAAGATGACCAATCCTCTTTCAGATGAGAATAGACACGTCAAAAGTTATCAAGTGGATACTGTGATAAAGTAACAAGGAAAAACTGTGAAACCACCACAGATCAGAAATCTAATACTCTATTGATGGAAGTACAAATAGGACACAGTACCAGCTGGGAAAAAAGTGAGCAAAAATACTGAGGAGTTAGGATGAAATAGCTATAAAAAAAGATATACCCTTGGACTTCAAGACTGTGAAAATAGAAACTGAATGGTCCTTACTGTCCATGAAGTCTGTAATAGGCCAGCTGAAGTGCAAGCTGAATAAACGTATCCGGGTGAAGCATCTTGTTCTTGGTTAGCTTTTTGCCAAAAGATGTAAAGGCATAAGCCGCAATCTGTAGATCAGATGCCTAACAAGAAGAATTAAATGAGAACGGTGAAAAATCACCTAAGGAGAATACACCAAAGAGAAGCAAATTATCACCTGCATTAAAGTAATCACCAGACATAAAGAATTAAAGGTGTTAAAGGCATAATTTTAAAATGTTTTGTGCAGACATGCTTGGATGACAGCCAAATTTTTACATATGGTTGTTAAAAGAAAAAATCATTATTATTTAAGAGAAAAGTGAAAAATATACCTCCCTGAGATACTGGGCTTTAGCTTGGTTGATGTCATTTAAAACTTTCTCATCCACAATGAAAATGAGCTCTTCTGGAAGTGGTATATCTCGTACCTTCTCTGAACCCTGAAAATAGGGAAGACTTAAAAATATTTTATCTATAGAACTATTAGGAGAAAAAAGATGAAATATTTATTCAAACATACCTTCCATCTTCCTTCATTCTGAAAAATTTTCTCATCCACATAATAACTGATGTTCACCATAATCATTGCATCAAAAGGAGCATGCTAAAATGAGAACACACAAGATTTCTGAATACTTTATGTCAACTTAAAACTTGACCCAATATTTTATTTTCACTTTGTGTCCATTCTTAACAGATAATAAAGCATAGAGTCTTCAAATGCCTCACCTCTTGAGGATATGATAAGATAGAAGATTCCCTACAGTTCAGTAACTGCTATATTTTATTTTTTGGAAAAAAAGTTGTTTAAATTTGGAAGCACCTAGTAGGGCTTCTGGTGGGGCTTGGGGTCATGAGGGTGTATAAAATAACATATAAACAATCTAGATAAATTAATTGCTATTTTTACTAGAAGTCAAAGCAAGTGTATATATGCAACACGAAGATGTTCTGGAATTGTAAGAACAGGGTGGAAAAGCAGATGGGGATGGCAACCTATCTGAAAGCATTTGGGATGGGCATGAACTTCTTTAGGTAAGGACTTAGGCCACTTAGTGAATATTAGAAAGCATAACCATTTTGTGTTTTTTATACATATGAATGTCCCAATGTGATAATTCTCAGTTTAAGAAATGTGGGAAAGATAGGCTGGGTGTTACGGGGCTGTTTCAGGTTTGCCAGGTGTATTTAGAGAAAGAAATTGCAGTTAGTGAATTTTCCCATCATCTATTTTGAAGAACAAAGTTTTTGCCCGCATTTTCCCCATGTTCCTTAGATAAAAGTTACATCAGACGGTTCCTTGTGACTGTCACCACTTTACATTAGACACAGATATCATTCATGATCTGAACGTGACACTGCGAGCTTGGGAGGGAAAGAAGGGAAGTAGTATCAAGATATGGGCCCAGTTTCAGAGGAGTAATTAGGTGTCTTAAATGTCACCCTAACACTATAGCTCTGTAGCCTGTATCATGGCCCAGCGGAGCCTATAAACAGGATTTATTGTTACCAACCAGGCAACAACTACATCAGGAAAGGCTCTTGAGGGAGGTCAGTATAAGATGCCTGAGCAGTTTATCTGCCAACAACAGCACACATGACAAGACTCACAGGTCGCTGACAAACCCATTTTCTAACAGTATCTCACAACTGTGTGGTACTTTACAATTTTACAAAGAATTTTCAGATATTATCAAATATATTGTTTCATTTAAGACAAACAGCATCAGTTTCCAACTATTTTACTGGAGCCAGTAGGAAATAGCAAGAGTGAAGGATGTCTCTTTGAGCTATAATTCTAAGCACCCATCTCCTAATGGAAAGCTAATAATCTCAAAGAAGGTAGAAAATATATAAAATTCCAATGCTATCCTGATGCTTTATTTGTTCACATAATTTTTACCTTTCATTTCTTGCACTTACACAGAGGCAATATGTATTTACATAGTGTTTAAGAATGTAGGCTTTGGTTCTGAGTTCAAACTACTTCCTAGCTGGGCAATAGTAAAAAAGTTACTTTGCTTTCTAATTAAACTGCCTCATTTCCCTGTAGAGATAATGCATACATACATACAGATGCTGTGAAAAATGATTTTTATACCACTTACACAGTACTTACCAAGGATCTAGCTCACAGCAATAATTAGTAACTATTGTTATTATTAACTAAAGTTTTTACATGCTTCCTATGCACCCTCTGCAAAGCCTTACAATAAAGCCTACAATATAGAGAAGACAATATAGTTGACTTCAGGTTTATAAAATAGGAGGGAAATGGAATTAATATAATCACAAAAGAACATATTCAAACAATTAAAATTATGGACCAGCAACATGGCTTTAGGGTAAAATAAGCTTTATTTTACAGTACATATGCTTATTTTTCTTCTTATTATTATTTTTGGGACAGGGTCTTGTTCTGTTGCCTGGGTGGGAGTGCAGTGGTACAACCATGGCTCACTGCAACCTGGACCTCCTAGGCTCAAGTGATCCTCCCACCTCAGCCTCCCAAGTAGTTGGGAGTATAGGTATGCATTACCATGCCCAACTAATTTTTTATTTTTTGTAGAGATGAGGGTCTCACTATGTTGCCCAAGCTGGTGCTGAACTGCTGGAATCAAATCCTCCCACCTTCGTCTCCCAAAGTGCTGGGATTATAGGCATGAGCTCCCATGTTTGGCCTACAGCATATGTATTTCACTAATGATGATTTACAAAGGTTAAACTGCACCCTCTATAATCATCTTAGGTTAGAAGGGAAACCTCCATGGAATTTAATGCAAATTATCAGGTGGAGATAATCAGATCAATTTTATGAATATATGCATGTTAATGCACACACATAAAACATGTCCGCACACTATAAAAAAGCAGTTCAGTTATGCTGAGAGATATGCTCATTATGAGCCCAATATTCTTTATTCAGAGACAGACAAGATTATCAAAATTATTTTCATCTTGAATTTGTGTGAACAGCAGGATACTGGTGCTATTAGTAAAAATCAGTTTAGCAAAAGGTGTTTTTTGATGGTCTTGGGGATGAGGGACGGAAAGCAAGATGAGTTATTCTTGATGAGATTGACTTACTCTTATATAACAATATAACATCCAATTTGAACAATTTAACATATAATGAAACACAACTCTCAAATGAGAATAATAGGTAAAAGCTAGAAAAGTATAGCTGCAAGTTACATATATAACAATAGGTCAATAAAGTGGTCAGAGGGGGAAAAGTGTGATGAATATTAAGGTCAGTTTCAGAATCAGTAGAGAGGAAAATACTGTTAAGAGGAAAGAGGCAGTGTCAAAATATGTATGCAGAGGGTAACCAACTGCAGCAGACAGGTCAAAGGGAAATGAAGGGAAGAAGCCAGGGGGCAGTTAACCACCTTACAAAGGGTAGTTTGCAAGGAATGGTAAGGACATAAACCAGACTGAGGAAGGTCAAGGAGAATCAAATGAGGAGCTGAAGAGAAGAAAACTGAGGCAATTAACAAGAACTATTCTGTCAACAGTAGACTCAAAGGAAGAGTAAAGAGAACATCTTCAAAATAAATGACTTGTGGCAACTTTTCACTGTAGCTCTGATGAGATACTCCAATAGACATTTACTTTCAGTGCCTATTAACCAATCCACCTTGTTCTGAAATAACAGCTACTTTACTGTTCTTTAGGCAACCAAGCACCACTTTGTAGTGGTTTGAATGAGACTGATTCTACCCACTAGATTCCAAGGTTGGGCATGTGACCCAGGCCAAGCTCATCCAAGCACCTGATTCCCCAGGATGGGGACATGAATCACACAGGCCAATCACAACTGATGAGGATTATTCCAGGACTTTTGCTGTAACCATTGGAAACAAAGAAGCTGACTATTTCCTTTGGGAGTCTATGAAGAAAGCTATGAAGATATGAGACTGTTGGTACAACAATCACATTGGGCAGTCTACCTAAATATGAGGCCAAACAAAAGAAAGCAGTACCAAAAAATGGGGAGAGATTTCTAATGAAAGCATTTGAACATTGAAGTCAGCTTTACCCAAATTTAGCTAACTCCTTGCCAACAAATATCTTCTTACGCTAACGCTAGTTTGATTTAGGTTTCTATCACCTAAACCTGAATATGGATTAATACAACTACTGAACCCTTTTTTTTTTTTTTTTGGAGTCGGAGTCTCAGTCTGTTTCCCAGGCTGAAGTGCACTGGCCCAAACACTGTTCACTGCACCCTCAACCTCCCAGGTTCAAGCGATCCTCCTAGACCTCAGCCTCCCAAGTAGCTGGGATCACAGGCGCACAACACCATGTGAGGCTAATTTTTGTATTTTTTGTAGAGACGGGGTTTCATGCCATTGCCCAGACCAGTCTCCATCTCCTGGGCTCAAGTGATTCACCTGCCTTGGCCTCCCAAAGTGCTGGGATTACAGGTATCAGCCATCATACCCAGCCCCAAACCCCTTTATAAAAAATTTTCTTGGTTCATAGACCTCCTGAATGCCTATCAGACAGTTAGTAGACAGCTAGTGAAGATGTCCATGGGAGGGGAACAGAGGAGAAGCAAGAAAAGTTGTTCATTTTTTATGAAAATGGTCAAAATGGTAGTAACTGCCATTTTAATATCCACAGCCTAAATAGTGTTCCAAAGATTATGTGTCATTTTAGGAAAATAGTTACCTAGTTACTAGGTGAATCTTGAACTCTATAAATATATCCATATGCATTGCTCTGCATAGAACACATACATAATGCCATATAATACCTTTTGAAATAGGTATTCTCAGCAAGCAGATAATACTGGGTTTTAAGAGCTTATATTACATAAATATTATATGCAAATCCCATTTTGCAGATATAGTACACAACAAACTGTTGGCCTTACTACAGAAGAAAATAACTTGTCCTATACTTTCAATGAGAATTCATAACTAAACTTTTCACCACAGTGCCATAAAACTAAATTACTATTCACTTACACTGTTCCCCAGCACAAGTATTTATGGTTTATTGTCATTAATTTAACCTAAAAGATCAAAAGAGAAAAATTTCAGTAGTTTACTTACATCACAATTACAGCCAAATACTCCATTAGAAAAGGAAATCAAGTTATAGGATTTGTCACCCCAGCGTACTGTTGGATCTCCAATAAGGATGGCTGCAATAATCTAAAATAAATTTAATTTTTCCAAATTAAAAGGGTTTAATATTGGTTTGTAAGAATTTACATCTTAAACACATATATCATCTCACCATTCCTCTTCACGTCAACCAAATTTAATAAAATCATAATATAGTTATGATCAGCAACACTGATATGTGATATGCAAAGTCAAGAGAGAGTAATTCTGGCCCTGACTTTAGGGGCTTCTCAAAATCTCAAGTTAAGAAAATCCTACCAGAAAAGAAAATGCTGGTACAATATTCATGAATGTTTACAGAACATAGAATTGAGAGGATAAGGGTTTTGTAACTTGAATAGGATAAAAGATCTTGATAAAAGTTTAGTCATTAAAGTCTAGTTAGGAGGAAATATTTTAAGAATTCGTTTCCTACTAAACCTGTTTTTCAAACTGTATACTTTGGCCTATTAATGGATCATGAAATTAACTCAGTGCATCATAATCAATATTCCTTACAAAAAAGGAGAATAAAATAGACTGGAAATATCAGTGTACCTCACAGACAATAAAAGTAATTAGTGCTCTGTGAAACTCCTATTTTATATATGTGTTTGCATGCATATACACATGTATATATAGTGGGCTGCAATCTAAATGTATTTGTAACTAAAAATTGTGGTCAAAAAACTTTGAACAACACTGCATTAAAATACATTCTTCCTTAAAAAGAAGTCTGGTGATTCTCAAAAAAAAAAAAAAATCTCTCTCCTTGCTACAAGGTTTTCCAATCCTTGATATTTTTTCCTATTATTTAATACCGATTAATTCACTATAAAATAATTAAGTATTTTCAAAAGACTATGAGATTTCTAATACAATTACTATCTTTTATTATTTCCTGGGACACAAATGTCACCCTGGGGGTGGCAGGGGAGCATAAAATAAGGCCATATTTACCCTTAACGTCACTGACATCAATGTGTTCAGCAATTAACCAAATGATAAAATAAATGACTTACAAGGGTGACATAATTCTTAGGAGACACAGTCCCAACTATGGTGTCAAGATACACTAGTGCAGGTTATGATTAGGTTATCATTTCACCTTTGGCAAGAAAAGCTCATTAACCTAGTGCTCTGTGTAAATTTTCTGAGTAGGCAAGCAATGAAAAGGTTGAGCAACACTGATATGTGATATGCAAAGTCATACTTCTTTAAACAAAGTATAATATATAGCTAAACAAACTTAAACAATGTGGCAAGGATTTACCAATTTACTATCTACTTTATAAGCTTCAATTTGGCACAAGTATATTGTATAACTAAGAAAAAGTTTCAAGAGCCTAAAGGTAGAAAAAGAAAAAAAACTTCCATGTTCAATAAATATGAGTCTTCCAGAAAAATCTGCAATAAAAAAAAAAAGAGAAGGTAGTTAAGTACCTCAGAATAATCCTCTGGTGTTACATGTGGACTGCTATCCTCCATGGAATATACCAGTAAACTACTCTGAATTTTTTCTAACAAAGCCAAGTTCTCTGGATCAAGACCAATCAGATATTCTCGTGCCTAAAGGGCAAGGAGATGATGATCAAATATTACAACTGAAATACAATACATCAAAAGAGTTTGTTAGAGAAAAGCTTCGTTAAGAAAAGTGTAAATCAGAACCTTAGCCCATCGAGTTCGCTCCTCACTAGTTAATGCTGCAATCCCAGGTCCATCAGGTTCACTATGGCACTTCTTGTGGATATATGTCAGTTGTCTTATGGAAGATGAAAAGAAGATTAAAAAAGAGTACAGGCAGAAAGTAACTACTTTGGCCTTTAAAAGGTCATAACATTGATCAATATTTAAATGTTTGGATATATTACCCAAAGAAACCACTTATGATGCCAATAGATTTCCTACATCACATATTTTTTTAAGTGATTGTGTTCTATTAACACCAAAAGCATATTTGACAATAATTTAATTTCAGTAAATAAATTTAGTTATTGGCTAAATTTAGTTTCGCTGATATATACTTTGGAAATGTGCATGCACTTCTAGGTTGCAAGTAAATATCCTTTTTACTGTAAATATCCTTACAATGGAGAACTTGAAAAATATCCTGGTAATCAATTTCACAAATATAATGTACATCTTATCTAACTAAAATCTATGTGCGTATATATTTAACCAGAGGACTTACTGTATACTCAATTAATATTTGTGTTTTACCAAAAAAAAATAGAAATACCATATAATCAGTTTTAACTATTTTCATATGTGCCACTTTGTTACTTCTAATCATTATATTTTTAAAGACTCTATTAGCTAAGGATAAACTACTCCCCCTCCACAGTATTTTATGCTCCTAGATTGGTGAATTTCATGTATCTTTAAACATACAGCAGATAAATAACTGGGTTCTCCCATAAAGAAATTTACATCAGTCAAAAATCCACAGAGCTTTAATTTAGCTCAATTTCATGGCACATGTTAAGAAATTACTTCAATTTAAAAGCTTTCAAGGATTTCTCAGGAAGTGAGCTAATGTAGCTTAATAAATGGTCAAAAAATGCTACTAGTAGCCATCAGTTCTGACTTCATCATTCAAAATTGGAATTCATCATTTATCTACTGATTTGCATACTCTCCTCTGTTTGTTCATTATATCTGTAACACTGATAAAGAAATACATTTCTTGCTGAAAAATTCCCCCCTTGTTATTTGCAAATTAATGGTGTCCTGAGGAACAGAATAAGGGTTTCTTCACCAATCTGCATCTATAGCAGAGCAACTTGCTTTGCCTCTCTTCCTGCTTACTTTCTTTAGTAACTACTGATTTTGCTCCAATTATAAGTAAAGCTTTTGCAGTTGTGGTTACTAGCATAAACTCTGAATTTCTAAATAAAATCAACCTGTTTCTCTCCATATGGTACTTGTTGCTACCTTTCCCTTACCAACTACCTCAAAGCACGAGTTTTGACTATGAAACTTTTACTTCCTCCCTGAAATGATCATTTTCATGTTCGTTTTACAAGGTGGTCATTATTAGGGAGAAATTACAAAGGAAAGTGTGTTAAACCTGAAATGACATTTTAAGTTTGATAATAAAAGGTCACATAACTGCCCAAATCGCCACCATTAAGAGATACAGATTTGGTAACAAGATAATCCCTCTTTTCCTTTAACTTGGCTAACTATGCACCTGTTTTTCAGCTACACATCTAATTTTTTATATTTCAAAGCACAAAGATTTGTATTAAAAATATCTGCATTACAGAATCATATATTTTTTTAAATATTCTATAACCCACACAGTCTGGCTTCTGCTTCATCGCTTTCCATTCACTCTTTAATTTACTGTCCTCGATTTTTGTTCTCCAGTGATTATCTTGAAAGTCACCAATAATGTCCCATTAAGGAAACCTAGTAGCTTTATTTAAGTCTAATTTTCCTCATTATAGAATGTTTGACACTCAGGTATGAATGTTAAAATTATCTTCTTACTTGATTTTTTCACATGGTCCCATTGTCGTCTCCATACGTCACTGAAGTCTTTTTCATTGACCATTTGTTCTCCTTACACTGCTGAATGTGTCTTTTCCCAAATTTCTGTCACTGGCCTTTCCAAGCTCCTCTTATAAGTTTCTCCCTTGGTAATCTCGTCTACTTCTTTAATAGTTTCAATGATCACCTTTATGTAAGAGGCAACCAACTCTCTAACTTCAACACCATTTTTTCTCTCAATCTCTGTTACCAAAGTTCCAAAAGCTTGTTGGATATCTCTACTTCGATTCCTGCCAACATTTCCAACTAAATGTATATTTAAACATTATCTCCCCCTTCCCACAATTTTTTTTAAAAAGATCTTAAAAGATAATATATGTGTAAATCTTCATGTCCTCAGATTAGGCAATGGTTTCTTAGATACAATTCCAAAAGCACATGTAACAACAAAAAAAGAGATAAAATTGGATTTTGTCAAAACGAAAAATATTGTGCATCAAAAGAGGCCATCAAGAAAGTGAAAAGCCAAGCCTAGGAGATATAATTTGCAAATTATATATCTGTAAAAAGACTTATATCTAAAGAACGATTACAATTCAATAATAAAAAAACAAACTAATTTAAAAATTGGCCAAGTATCTGATTAGACATCTCTCCAAGGAAGATATATACAAATGGCCAAAATGCATGTGAAAAAATCTTTAACATCATTATCAAATATAAACTACAACGAGATCCCACTTTACCCTTACTAGCATCGCTACAATAAAAAAGGCAGACAATAAGTGTTGGTGAAGATGTGGAGAAACTGGAACCCTAATATACTGCGCCATTTTGGAAAACTCTCTGGTAGTTTCTCAATAGTTAAACATAGAATTACCATATGACCTGGCAATTCTACCCCTAAAATATACCCAAGAGAAATGAAAACATATGTTTACATGAAAACCTGTATACAATAGTCACGGCAGCATTATGAATAATTTACTATTTGTCTATTATTCATAATAGACAAAAAGTAGAAACAACTCAAATGTCCATCAACTGATGAATAGTTAATAAAATGTGGCATATCTGTAAAATAGAATGTTATTCAGCAATAAAAAGGAATAAAGTATTCATACATGCTAAAACACGGATGAACCTTGAAAACATTATGCTAAGTGAAAGAAGCTACACACAAAAGGCTACATGTTGTAAGATGCCATTCCTATATTAATAAAATGTATAAAATAGGCACATTTATAGAGGCAGAAAGTAGATTGGTAGTTGTCAGAACTTTTGGGTTTTTTTAAGGCAAAAACAGAAATCCAGATGTTTATGTAAATTTTCCTGATTTTTAAATAGTGATTCAAATTCTGCTATCCAAGCAAAATAGGTCACAGGCTGAATGCAGCCCATGAAGCACATGTGTTTAATTTCTGGAAGAGTGGCTTTGAATAATCCAATTAATAAGCCTGATCTAATAATTATATGTCAAATTTAAAACACACTAACTAAAACATGTAATGGGAAGACACACAAATATTATCCAAGATACAAAAGCAAATGATTAAAAAGATAAATTTGCCTAAATCAAAATTAAGATTGGACAATTTCCAAAATTTGTTTCAAGTTAACTGGAAGAAAATGTTTGCAACACACATAATGTATAAAAGATTAATGTAGAGACTATATAAATAATTGCTATAAATCAATAAGGATAAAGTAAAATAGCCAACAGAAAAATAGGCAAAAGTAACTCACAGAAAACACAAATAAATGGCATATAAACCATATAAAAATGCTCAACCTCACTTGTAATGAGGGATATGCCAATTCGAACAACAATGAAAACCATTTTTCACCTGTCAGTTGACTAGATATAGCTTTTTTTTGTTTTTTTTTTTTTGTTTTTTTTTTTTTGAGACAGCGTCTTGCTCTGTCACCCAGGCTGGAGTGCAGTGGCGTAATCACAGCTCACTGCAGCCTCGACCTCCTGGGCTCAAGTGATCCTCCCACCCCAGCCTTCCAAGTAGCTGGGAGCACTCCCAAGTAGCACTATCATGTCCAGCTAATTTTTTAACTTTTTATAGAGACAGGGTCCCCCTATGTTGCCCAGGCTGGTCTTCAACTCTTGGCCTTAAGTGATCCTCCAGCCTCAGCCTCCCAAAATGTTGCAATTACAGGCATGAGCCACTGTGTCCCCCACTCACCAGATATGTTTTAAGTTTAATAGTACCATGTCAACAATGATTAGGAGAAGTGGGTGTCCTCACATAATACTGGCAGAAAAAACAATGCCACTGTGGATGACAATTTGACTCAGTCAAAAATTTTAAATGTATACATCAGATGATGTGAACATTTCACTTCTAATATCAAACCATAGATATTTTATCCAAATACAAAAAGGGGCATGTTTGAAAATGTTAATTATTTGTTATAGCAACAAATGGAAACAACTTTAATGTCATATCATAAAGAAATGGTCACATCAACTATAATATATCCATTTGATGGAATTCTATGTAATAGTTTAAAAGAATAAGGTAGATGTATTTGTACCAATATGGAAAGATTACATTTATTGTTGATTAAAAGAAGCTAACTATAAAAATAACACTATTTTTTAAATGTGCAACTACCCCATGCCTCATGTCAAACAAAAAAATCAATTAACTCTAGGAAGACTATAAATACAAACGTAAAAGTCAACACAAAATTCTAGAACATAGGAAATTATCTTCTTGGCACTGAGTTAGGGAAAAATTTTTTAAAACAGAACACAAAATGTATAATCTGTATGGTAAAGATTAAAAGATTAATAAACTGGAGTTCATTCAATTAAGAACTTCTGTTCATCAGGAAGATGTGTTTAATAGAACAAAAGATCAATTATAAACATCTTCTACTCTGTGTATTGCAACACACACAACCAAGTAAGAACTCTTACCCAGAATGTAAGGAACTCCTACAACATTCACACACTAGTAGACATAACTACTTTGGAAAACTGGCATTATCTATTGAAGCTGAACATACACATATCCTATGACTCAGCAAATTCTCTCCTGGGTGTGCTCCAGACAGAAATACATGCATGTGTACACCAAAAGACTTACACAAGGATTTTCACAGCAGCCTTTTTCAAATAATAATGCAAACTGTAAACAACCTAAATGACTGCCCCTGGGAAGGAGTGAAAGTCTGGAAGAGGGATGACGGGAATCTTTGGAGTATTAGAAATGTTCTAATTTTTGACCTGGGTGCAGGTTACATGAATATTTAGTTGTACATTTCTGTGTGCAGTTTTGTACATGTTTGCAATATTTAATAAAACTAATTTAAGTTATAAATAGATATATATACCCAACAATTAGAAAACAATTAGAACAACTGATTCTCTGTTAATGATATTAAAACACTGTTTATTTGGCTGGGTGTGGTGGCTCATGCCTGTAATCCCAGCACTTTGGGAGGCCAAGGCAGGCGGATTATTTAAGGCCAGGAGTTCAAGACCAGCTTGGCCAACACGGCAAAACCTCATCCCTACTAAAAATACAATAATTAGCTGGCCATGGTGGTGCGCACCTATAATCCTAGCTACTTGGGAGGCTGAGGCAGAAGAATCACTTGAACCTGGAATGTGGAGGGTGCAGTGAGCCGAGATTGTGCCTCTGCACTCCAGCCTGGACACAAAGCAAGACTCTGTCTCAAAAAAAAAATTATTTTTTAGAAGTCATTAGGTATGATAATGGTACTAAATGTGTATTTTAAGAGTCCTTCTATTTTAGAGATGTATACTGAAATATCTATAGTGAAAGGATATTATGTCAGATTATCTTCAAAATAATCCATGGGAAAGTGAGGGAAAAGGTAAAAGAGGTATAGTTGAAACAGCATTGACTATGAGTTTATAACTGTTGATGCTAGGAGTTGGTAACTGTTGAAGTTAGGAGATGGGTACACGGGAGTTATCATTATATAATCCCCTATACATTTTGAAATTTTCTGTAATATACTTTAAAACATATACATAGAAGATGTATACCATATATATGTATATACATATATAATACATATTATATATTATATATATTTTTTAAGCTAGGTATACATGTAAATTCATTGCAACAGGTATGGAACAATGGAACACACTAAACTAGTAAGAGTGATTAATTCTGGGGCAGGGAATGGAATTGGTAATATATGTAATGTTTTCCTTTTCTCCAAGTGAACATATTTATATATGTCTAGTAAAATTTAAAAATAATTTAAATAAAAAATACAAATAGATTTTTTTTTAAAAAAGCATGCATAAAATTCTTATTTTTCAGCTTACTATCACCTTGAAAGGCAATTCTAAACATGTATATTTTAATTCAAGCAACACCATAAGACCTAATGAAACTCAAGAAAGTAGTCTGAAAACCTGAGAAGCTCTGGCGGGGTGACCAAACATCCTTCATGTATTACATCAAAGACAAAAGCTCGGCCTCGACACAGCACTACAATGTGGTTTGGGGAACGCCCTTCACTCTCTGGAAACAGAAACAGAAAACACAAGACTCAAATCTAAGGTTAAACAGGAGTAAAGATGCATATATCCAATAGAAGAAAAGTAGGCATTCTTCCAGTATTTTATTTATCATATAGTCATCAAATATATCACATAACAAAAATAATGTATTAATGGAATTGCAGTTACTATGATATAAATACATACTCCTGACACTTGTTCCATGTGAGACATCTAGAAATCAATGAGTTTCAAATACCCTGAAAACCACATAAATCCCAAACTACTACAGACCTTTCTAATTTTACTTAGGAACAGAAATGGGAAGGGGAGAAGGAGACCAGTGGAATCTTGGAGGACAGCCATTTGAATTAACAGGTTTCTCTTTTGGATTATTTTAATGTTAATTACTCATCAGATAATTTAATTGCAGTAATATCTAGCTATGATAACTCAATAAAATAATTTTCAGTAGAAAAGGATACAGTATGCCAGTGGCAAAGGAAAAGAATTTTGTCCAGTCTGGTAACACCTGGTAAGCCACTGACAATGGATTATCTCTGATTTCTTTGGCACACCTTAACTCCCCAAGAACTGTTTGTTTGCTGTAAACCTCAGACTATTCTGATATAACCCCATCTTTAGGTACTTGTCCTTTTGCCAAGGATCTTCTTATGTGATCCCTGCCCCTACCTTCTAAGAAAAGAAAATGGAAAAAGAGGAAGAAAGAGAAGACATACACTGCCGCTTGAAGGAAATATAGTGGTGGGTATTATTTACGGGTCAGTATTAAGTGCTTTACATACATTATCTTATGAAATCTTTTCATCAACTATGAGGAAGAACAGTCTCCTGATAAAAATACTCTTTTTTCTCTTATACCTTATTTCCTCAAGACCTAGGGGATGAGATATGTGTTTTCCTTGTTCCTCATGGCTACCTCCAAACCATTTCTTCTTTCTTCCCCTTCAAAAACCTCCAGATCCTTTTACCTCTACGACCACCACTCTTTTATTGCTGTCATCTCCTGACCACACCCCTTTCAAAGTTTAGGGCTGGAAAAGAAAAAAGAAAATAAACCTGATGCCAAATTAATCAATAAATGGTTGGAAAGGGTGAGGGTGGCAGAAGGGTGCTACCTCACAATAAACCTGGCGGATATTTGAGCAGAAAACTGAATGGAGTGAGAAAGTACGCCATGTAAATACCCGCAGAAGTGTTTCAGGCAGAGGAAACAGCAAGCACAAAGGCATTAGAATAAACATGAGTTGATCTGCTTAAAGGAAAACAAGGTCAGTGCAGCTGCGGCACAGAGAAAAGGATAGAGTGGTAGATAAGGTTGAGACCCGATTATACTGGCCTCAGAAAGTGGTTTCCAGTATGATGGGAAGGAAACCAATGGATGGTTTTAAGCAAGGGAGTGATAATGTGGTCTCACTAAAAAGATCCCTCCAGCTGTTACATGGAGAACAGATTACAAGGGTGAAGAGAAGGTATGCCAAGTTAGGAGGTGACTAAAGTTGTCCAGGTGAGAACAATCTAAGAGAGATAGGATGATGGCTTCGACTGGGGCCTGATACTTGAAGGAGACATGAGGTGAATTGTTTTCCTTTTAAGATGGAAGATATTACAGACTGGAACAATCAAGTAAAGAAAAAAACTGATAAGCAGCAGAGAGAGAGGATAATGCAAAAGCAAGTTTCTTGACTAAGCAAGAGGAAGCGGGACTCAGCACAGATATAGAAGAGTTGTCCTTAGGAGTCAGAGGAGTTCATCTGTATTTTAAAAAGAAAAGAAAAGTATATGAATTTGCAGTAACATATTGCAAGGGGGTAGAGAATGGGCAAATATTTGAATCAGTATATTTTCACTGGTTGCAAAAACAAATTACTACTGACTTGGTAGCTTAAAACAACACAAATTTATTATCTTACAGGTCTAAGGACCAGAAATCTGAAATGTGTCTTACTGGGCTAAAATGAAGGTGCCATCAGGGCTGTGTTCCTTCTAGAGGCTCTAGAAGAAAATTGGTTTCCTTCCTTTTTCCAGCTTTTAGAGGCTATCCACATTCCTTGGGCTCATGAACCCCTTCTTCCATCTTCAAAGCCATCAAGGGAAGATCATAACCTTCTCATACTTCCATCTCTTTGGTTCTCTCCTTTGCCTCCCTCTTCCATGAATAAGGACCCTTGTGATTATATACTTTGGGCACATGTGAATAATCTAGGATAACGTCCCCATTTCAAGGTCAACTGACTAGCAACCTTAATTCCTCTTTACCATGTAACCTAACATATTAACAATTTCAGGGATTAGAAAGTAGACATCTATGGGGGACCATTATTCTGCCCATCACTGAAAGGCTGGTAAATGTCATGATGGGAAGATTGCTCATATCTGTTGTGAAAAACAAGAGTTTGTTAGCTAACAAGAAGGAGAGCGAAAGGCATAAAACAGTCTTCTCTGGAAGTGAAAGAATAAGCTAACCAAGGAAGATAGCACCGTAGTGCTGGGGGCCAACTTGAGATTTAACTGAGATCATTAAGTAAGTTTTATGGTTTTCTCTGGCCAAGTAAATTGCTAGAGTAGGTATCTTTGATATGTAGAGAAAAGACAAATTAAATTTTAAACGATGTTTAGGTTTTACCACATCAGTACTGGGGAGAGGTAGCAAAGATTTGAATGTGTATGCCTGGGAGTAATGATGGTGAAGAACCAGAAAGAAGTGAAGACGGGGAAGTAGGAATGGAGCCATGAAGAGAGCAGTAGCATCATTAAACTGTAAATCACAATGTGGCCAAAGGAACAGCTGAGTTGGAGTACTGAAAGATGTAGTTTCCTAGAGCTATAAACTGAAGGAAATGAGAGCCTATGGATCGTCTACAATTGAAAGCTAAAATCATCAAGAATATGACTGAGGTAGTAATGGAAAGAAAGACAGGCACTGGAGCTAAAGCAATCAATAGATGAAGGGGAATGGGCAGGAGGAAAGTCACTGCAACAATGTAGTGGTGATATAACCTGAAGGCATTTTTTTTTCCCCAAAAAGGCTAAAATTGTTAAGGACGAAGGGAAAACAGAAAGGGCAGAGGGAAACAAAAAGGATACCAACACCTCCCACAGGCCCTGTAGTGCTATATAAAAGAAAAAAAAAATTCCCCCTTGCGAGGGTACAGGGGAAGTAGTAAGCTTAATGAATAATCAAGCTTTAGTAACATCTTTTAGAGAAAAGGTTGAGGATATAATGGATTTTGCTGATCGTGAGCTCCAGAAAGTACAGCAGAAGGGTTTGGGGAAGTCGTGAGGGTAGATCAGAGCAATGGGAAATTTGGATCAAATTAGACCATGCACAAATCCGTGAATCCAGCTGACAAGGGATAACATGAACAGTCTGGGCTTTTTGTGTAAATGTGGTAAACAGGGATGAAAGGTATGACTGAATTAGTCTTAATGGTCTCCTAGGGGGTAGGTAAAAACAAATAAATAAACAACAGGCCAGGTGCTGTGGCTCACACGTGTAATCCCAACACTTTGGGGGCTGAGGCGGGCAGATTGCTTGAGCTCAGGAGTTCGAGACCAGCCTGGGCAACATGGCAAAACTCGGTCTCTACAAAAAATACAAAAATTAGCCAGGTGTGGTGGCATGTGCCTGGTCCCAGCTACTCAGGAGGCTGAAGTGGGAGGACTGTTAGAGCCCAGGAGGTCGAGGTTGCAGTGAGCTGTGATCACACCACAGCATTCCACCCTAGGTGACAGACCAAAAAAAAAAAAAAAAGACAAACAAAAAACAAAAAACTAGTTTTAATTATAGCCTCCTTATTGAGACTAACCTCAGTGGCTTAAATTCTGCCCATCCCATCAACACACATCATTTTTTCAATTTTCTCTCCCTCTCTTTTTTTTTTTTTGAGATGGAGTCTCACTCTGCCGCCCAGGCCGGAGTGCAGTGGCATGATCTCGGCTCACTGCAACCTCCCACTCATGAGCTCAAGTGATTCTCCTGCCTCAGCTTCCCGCGTAGCTGGGATTACAGGCGCGAGCCACTGTGCCCAGCTAAATTTTTGTATTTTTAGTAGAGATGGGGTTTCACCATGTTGGCCAGGCTGGTCTCAAATTCCTGACCTCAGGTGATCTGCCCACCTAGGCCTCCCAAAGTGCTGGGATTACAGGCATGAGCCACCAGGCCTGGCCCAATTTTCACTTTACACATGATAGATTCAATGGCCCCAAATTATTTCTCCCTTACAAAAACTTTAATCCTTCAGCCCCTCTTCCTTTGCACCTGCCCCTCCTGCCCCTCACTGATGCTGAAGAAAAAAACACAGCATGTCATCTCGTCTAATTTTAAATGCATGAACACACATCTCAAATGGGCACTCAGCAGTGTTCAGTAACTCCATTATTTCCACAGCATGTTTGTTTTTTCCACTTTCCAAAAAGACTATTTCAAACCTCCTTTCTCCTCAAATCATCCACCCCAGTGGATGACCTCAGTTCTTATTTCACTAAAAACATAAGCAATAAAAAGTACCTCCTCATCTTCCTACAACAAAACTGGCCAATCTGTTTGCTTCTAGATTCACACTTTCTGCATTCCCTCCTAATTGCCTCTCTTCTTTGATCCTGTCAAAGACCAACCCCTCCACCTTTCTGCTCTTGATCCTCTTGGCTTTTACCTTCTCAATGACTTTGGCTCCTTATCTTCTCCCCTGCAAGATTATTTTTCCTCCTCTCCTGTAACAATGCCTATGATGTAATATCACAATCTTTAAAAAATTATTTTTGATCTCCCAGTGCACATCAAAACTTTTCTTGCAAGCATTATTTCCAAATGTTACCACCACTTCATCAATCTGCTTTCATCTCTTCCAGCTGGGGTTCCCTCTTCAACTTTCATTAAAACTGCTCTTGTCAAGGGCAACCTCTGTCCACATCATGTTTACATATCCAATGGTCACATTTTTACCTCATTTGACTTCTCAGAAGCATTAAACACTTCCTTCTCTTGGCCTCTGGGAGACCACTGTCCTTGTTTTCTTCCTACTTCCCTTGGTCTCCTTTGCTGGCTCCTCCTCCTCTGATTGGAAAATACAGTATTGAACCTGTGATAAGGATCAGCACTGATCATCTTTACATATGTCCCAAAAGTAACCTTGGCTACTGTTATGGATTTACAGTTGCTTTCTATGCCTGGTAGTGATGACTCCTAAGTCTGTAATTTGCAGTCCTGAGCTATTCCCAAAACTACAAATCTTGAATCCAACTGCCTATGTACATTTCCACTTAGATGTCTAAAAGGCATCTTAAATTCAAGACGGTTTAAAGACCACTTGCTTCTCCTCCCTAAATCATCTCCTCCCAATATTTCCCACCTCATGAATCTACCTACGTACCCACCTACCCTGTTAGCTGCTCAAGCCAAATATGTTGAAGTAATCTGATTCCTATTTTTCTCTTATATCTTACAACCAATATATGAATATTCCTGCTAACCCAAAATCCAAAATACATCCAGAGTATAACTTCTCACCACTCCAATGCCATAATCCTAGTACAAGCCATTATCATGACTTACTTGGAATACAAGAACAACTTTCTAATTGACCTCCCTGCTTATAAACTTGTCTCACCTCTAAAAGTCTATTCTTCAAACAGTAGGTAGAATGATCTTTTTTAAAGCATAAATCTGGTCACATCATTCTTTTTATCAAAACTCACTAATAGTTTCTGTTCACATTTTAAACGCAAGCCAAAAACCTTACCTTGTTTTATAAAGTACTATATGATCTACCTTCTAGTCACCTTTCCAATCTGGCCATCCAGCTCCCTCCTGTGTACTCTGCTCCATCCATACTGCCCTTTGAACCTGCCAAGTTTATTCCTGCCCAGAGCATTCTGCCCTCAACACACACAAAAAGTAACAACAACAACAAAAGTGAACTAAACAAAAGAAAGCCAAAAAACTCTGCAGGTTCATCTTATCATTCAGATCCTTGGAGAGGCCTTCCCTGACTATCTAATATAAAATTGCCATGTAGTTACTAATCTTATTTGAACTCTCTGTATATTATTTGCCATGAATTCTGATTTTTTCATGTCTACCTCACACTTTATCCCTATCTCTACATGTCTTCACATGTAAGCCCCAAAATATAATAACTATGTCAGCTTCAATCACCATATCAAGAGATGCATTATTAATGAATCCCCATTTTACAAACTATAACCCAAAAGAGTTACCTTATCTAAGGATATACCTACTAAGCGATAAAGACAATTCAAAAGCAGGTCTATTGATATTAGTTCTTAACTGATATGCATATTTTCTCTTTTTGCTATTGCTCTTCTTACATTAATTTTATCTTGTTCATTTTTTCCATTCATATTTGCACATTAAACTTTAGACCATGAATAACTCAGTTTCCCTAATCTTTTAATTGTTTCACTGGTAACATCAAGGTAAATATATGTGGGCTTGAGGACATTAAATATCTCAAGCATGTAAAGAAGTTTACAAAGAAGAGTTGAGTTCTACATGAAAGTAAGCTCATACCCCTCATACTATGAGCATGATTGGCTATAAATATTTTACTTTTAAATAACATTTTATGTAAGAAAAAAATCCATTCACAATTATACTCTTCAGTAAGTGTAAACTGTGAAAAAAACAGTTACCACAGCAGAATTTTCCATTTCAAGATAAGCTAGGACACCAAGCAGAAACTGCCATTAAACTGCCAGTTTAAAAAAAAAAATTGATGAGTCAATCTGAACTCATGTGTCTCTAAGAAGAGTGACTCCAAGCCGGGCATGGTGGCCCATGCCTGTAATCTCAGCACTTCTGGAGGCTGAGGCGGACAGACTGCTTGAGCCCAGGAGTTTGAGACTAGCCTGGGCATCATGGTGAAACTCCATCTCTACAAAAAATACACAATTAGCCAGGTATGGCAGTGCCTGCCTATAGTCCCAGCCACTCAGGAGGCTGAGGCAGGAAGACCACTTGTGCCCAGGAGGTGGAGGTTGCAGTGAGCTGAGGTCGCAACCTGGGCAACAGAGTGAGACCCTGTCTCAAACAAAAAAAAAAAAAAAAAAAGGAAGAGTGACTCCAGGCTTTTACCTCATATAAGGTGGAGGGACAAGCAGACTCACAGGGAGACTGTGGCATGATAAGCACATATAAGTAAACACTCAAAAAGACAATTCAGGTAATAAAAAATGAGGGTAGAAAGAGAAGCATCCAGATCATATGTTTCATGTTTCAGGATTTTCTTAATACTCTGATTCTACTCTTCAAGTAAACTTTAAACTTTCAAATGATGAAATATAAGCATCAGGTTTGTGTTGAACCATGTAAGATACATTTAGAAAATCCGTTCCCATAAATTACATCTAATCAGAATGATTCAAATATAAGGCTCACAGAAAACCTTTCTTTGTCAAAGTCCCAACAGTAATATTCTTCAAAAGTGTATGTTCCATCACGTCATAGTAGGCTACCCAAATTCCAGTGCCTTTACTAAAAACGATATCTGCATTTTTACTTACCAGTCCTAAAATAATTCATAATGGAGTCTCTAGTAATTCCTGGAACCTTGCAGGTAGAAAATAGCATTCGGAATTGATTCATATCTAGAGGAGTATTTCCAACTTTATGAACAGGCACTTTTTCTCTATTAAAAAAAGGATTTTGATCAAAAAGTCATTATAAAATTTAAAAACCAGCCACAACTGAAGTGTTCATCCCCAAATAAGTAAATTAAGCTTCTCAACATTTTGCTACCTGAGACTTCAGGTAAGCCTGTCACTAAATTCACATGTGTCCTTACTTTCTTAATAGCTGCCAGTAGTTCAAGTTATGCCAAAGAGTTATACTTCCTCTTTCTAATTGAGTCCCTTCCTTTGGAGGCCAGTAGTGTTCAAAATGAGCTGCAGGACCCGCAAAGTTGACATTCAATTGTGATGGTATACGAACATCCAGATAGGCAACATTCAGCCACCACTCTTCCAGCTAAAAGAAATTGAGAACATCAGCTTAATGTTCTTCATAATACATGAATGTGTAACTACTGGGAATTTTAAAAAGCAAGCTATATTTGTTCTTTAATTATTCTTCAACATTTAAAAACATGTTTTTTGGCTGGGTGAGGTGACTCACACCTATAATCCCAGCACTTTGGGAGGCCAAGGTGGGAGGATCACTTGAGTCCAGGACCTAGAGGCCAGCCTGGGCAACATAGAAAGACCCTGTCTCTACAAAAAAAAAAAAAATTAATTAGCTGGGCCTGCATGTAGTCTTAGCTACTCAAGAGGCTGAGGCAGGAGGACCACCTGAGCCCAGGAGTTCAAGGCTGCAGTGAGCTATGATTGCACCACTGCACTCCAGCCTTGGTGACAGAGAAAGACCCTGTCTCAAAAATAAATAAATAAAAACATGTTTTCTTGTTTTAAATCATCATAGATATTGAGAAATGTTATTGTGATAATTTCTTTTCAGCGGGGAGCTATAGGATCTTAGGTATTATTTGTTTTAACTACACTATCAAAAACGAGTATCAAGAAAGCACCAAAAGATACCTTCAGAAATATCATTGTATTGTAGTCACAAGTATGCAATAAAGTACATAGGTGTTTCTTCAGAGTACTTGGGGCATAATAGATAATCAATAAATCCTTACCTAATAATAACAGTTATTAAGGCATTAACAATTTTCCTTTTCCAAACAAAAACTGCAATACTAAATCAGAAATATAAAAACTGGCTGGGCATAGTGGCTCACACCTGTAATCCCAGCACTTTGGGAGGCGGAGGCAGGCAGATCACTTGAGGCCAGGAATTTGAGACCAGCCTGGCCAACATGGCAAAACCCTATCTCTACAAAAAATACAAAAATCAGTTGGGTGTGGTGGTGCGCACCTGCAATTCCAGGTGCATGGGAGACTGAGGCATGAGAATAGCTTGAACCCAGGAGGCAGAGGTTGCAGTGAGCCGAGACTGCACCACTGCACTTAAGCCTGGGCAACAGAGCAAGACTCTGTCTCCAAAAAATAAATAAATAAAACAAATAAATAAAAGTTTTCAGTAGGCTTCAAAGTAATTTAGATTTTTCACAGACACTGTTTTCTATGTGTCCCTCTTTCACAATATGCAATTGAATTCCATGCATAAGTAAGCACATCTTATCAAATTACCTGGAGTCTTGTTTGAAGAAAGTGATGTTATAAACTATAATTAGTAATTCAGAAAGAGACATAAACAAAAAAGATACAGATAAAACAACAACTTCTTTACCTTTACCCCTCTTTAATTAAAACAACTCAAGGCTCAAAATTGAGAACAAAGGAATCCGGAAGTGTGAAATTTTATTATTCCATCACAGATATAAATGGTTCATCAAAAAAAATCAGCTTGCTTTTTATTTCTAAAACTAAATGATAGGTACAATAATTATTTCTAGACTAAGGCAATGCTTTTGAATTATACAACCTCATCCTCTGATTCATAGTAGAGAAGTACAGAAATGGTTGAGCTGAAGAAGTTAAAGAATTTTGTGGAAAATTATTGAGACCTTCAATAATTATTATACTAGCTTCCTCAATTTATCTAACTGAAATATACAATATACATAACCATTCTCCACTCTGATTTTTAATGATTCCCTTTCTCCATTGTACTACGAAAATATTTCTATGCCACCTATGTGACATGTCTATTTTAGTGTTTCTGATTTTTCAAGCTAGTCACCTGGACAAAATGTTTTCCTTCAGCATGGTCTACAGATTACCTGCAGCCAAACCACATGAAGTGATTGTTAAAATAAGAATCTCTGGGCCTCATTCCAGCCATGTGAATCAGAATCACTTATCCCAGCAAATCTGCATTTTAACAAGTTCCCGAATCCACCCACTGAAAACTCCCAAAGTTAAGTGATTCATTCCTTCTTTTGGATTATGAAAATAACAATAATAACTGTAAAAATTTTTACAGCAATAATTTAAAAATAAAAACTATGCACTTTTTATTTATCATTCTTTAAACATCATCATTATTCAATTATAACAACAAATACCCAATTTCTTTTTCCTTTTGCTCTTTCAAGCAATTTCTGGTGCAATTTTTCTCCAATCCCACTTTGAAATTTTTGAACTATTTCTTCAGTTTTCTTATATTCTTCTTGATTTGCAAATGGTTTCACTAGAAAGGAAAAATACGTATTAAGGTATTTAGACCAAGTACCACCAACTCACCTCTATTATTACTAACTTATGCAAATCTTAAGACTCAGATATGTAAAACACAGTACTGTATTAAATAGCAGAGCAGAACAATAAAATTAAGAGTTGACAACATGAAAGTGGCGGAAAAGAAACAAAAGATTTGGAAATCCTTGCTTGAGAGAATGGGATTAGCAAGTCGGGAGGGAGCCAGGGAGATGGGCAAAGGACTGCATTTTTCATCACAAGCCTATTTACACTATCTGGCTTTTCAAACTCTGGAAAAATTAACATAAAGAGAGAAAAAAAGTTGGATATTTTAAGGACATGGTTGACTCGAACAACACGAGTTTGAACTGCACAGGTCCATTTATACCTAATAAAAGTTGATAATGAGTGTGCTTGCCTCTCCTGTCCCTACTTCCACCTCCTCTACCACCTCTGAGACAGCAAGACCAGTCCCTCCTCTTCCTCCACCTACTCAACATGAAAACCATCAGGATGAAGATTTTTATGATGATCTACTTCCACTTAATGGATAATAAATATATTTTTCTCTTCCTTATCATTTTTTAATAACATTTGCTTTACTCTAACTTAAATAATTCAGAAAATAATACATATAACATAAAATTATCTGTTAATCAACTGTTTACGTTATAAAGTTGTACTTGAATTTCTTTTCTTTTTTTTTTTTTTTTTTTGAGATGGAGTCTCGCTCTGTCGCCCAGGCTGGAGTGCAGTGGCGTAATCTCAGCTCACTGCAAGCTCCGCCTCCTGGGTTCACACCATTCTCCTGCCTCAGCCTCCCGAGTAGCTGGGAATACAGGCGCCCGCCACCACTCCTGGCTCTTTTTTTTTTTTGTATTTTTAGTAGAGACGGGGTTTCACTGTGTTAGCCAGGATGGTCTCGATCTCCTGACCTCGTGATCTACCTGCCTCCGCCTCCCAAAGTGCTAGGATTACAGGCGTGAGGCACTGCGCACGGCCTGTACTTGGATTTTCTAATACACATGGGTCAGCACCACCAGCCCTGCATTGTTCAAGAGTCACCTATACTTTATTACAAGTCTAGATAAAGAAGCAATTAAACCTTCAACTTCTAACAGTGTTGTTAAGGAAGCAGGAGCTTAGGAGAGCCAGAGTAATGCCGTTTTAATTTCAGCTCCATCTGGAGACTAACAAGGCACAATTCCTTGCTGGTCATGACCCACATTAAGAAGATATTTACAGTTGAGTGAACAGCCTACAGATACCTACAAGGACACACTCCTAAACAGCAGAAAGTCCAGGTATCCCAATACCCATAACAATATATGTTTTCAAGATAATTACAGTTATGTTTGGATGTATTTACACACTAAAATGTCAAGGATAGTTTTATTTAAATCAATAGAATAATAAATTGTGTCATGTTGTCTGCTCACCCACATGTAGACGTAGCTTAGTTTAGTCTTTACATAGATAAAGGCTCTATATAAGAAAAACTTAAAATAAGGATGGTGCCTTCCTTTGCTTGCCCTCTGAGGACGCTCTACTCCGCAATGGAGTAGCTTTCAATAAGCTGTCTCTTCTCACTGCACTCTGCAACTCACCTTGAATTCCTTCCCGCGTGAGATCCAAGAACCCTCTCTTAGCATCTGGATCAAGACCCCTTATCTGGTAGCATGTTCTGGTGACTACAAAGGGACATTAGGATGAGATCCCATGCTGAGGAGATTCAGCCTGCACAGCACTAATTGGCCACCTCTGATAAATGGGGTCTGTCTTGGCATCCTATCAAGGATAATATTTCTAGCCCAATGGGGTTAGAGTCTCTAGGGTATAATATTTGGGTTAGAGTCCCAGCCCAATGGGGTGAGAGTCCCTGGGGTATAATAAAAATTAAAGTAGCCTTGCAAGATGTACGCCAGTATATGCTTTGGACTAATCCACTTTGTCCCCTTTGCCAGATATGGGAAAGCTATACTTCTCATCACTTCCCAACTTGTTGCCTTTGCTTTACTGCAGCTTTACAGTGGCCCCTATGGCCAGCCCAGAGGTTTACTGCATTCACTTTCCACACTTGCCTTCTGACTGTCACCTTTTCGTTTGCTTTGTCATGTCTCAGGATAGCATGGGGAACCTGAGGACTTACAAGATTTGTTCTTGATATATATATTTTGAGACAGAGTCTCGCTCTATCACCCAGGCTGGAGTGCAATGGTGCAATCTTGGCTCACAGCAACCTCCGCCTCCCAGGTTCAGGCGATTCTCCTGCCTCAGCCTCCCAAGTAGCTAGAATTACAGGTGCCCACCACCACGCCCAGCTAATTTTTGTATTTTTAGTAGAGACAAGGTTTCACCATCTTGGCCAAGCTGGTCTTGAATCCTGACCTCAGGTGATCTGCCCACTTTGGCCTCCCAAAGTACTGGGATTACAGACGTGAGCCACTGTGCCCAGCCTGTTCTTGCTATATCTTAAACATTGCAGGACTCAGATGCTTTTACACCCCATGTTAAAACAGGCAGCAATCTTTATCTGCTTGCCCCCTGTGGAAACCTGGAGTCTCATTCTCTTATCTGAAGCTTCAGCCTGTTATCATTCTGGTGGTTACTTTTGCCCTGCAACTATGAAATTAAACAGAGTCTTCTAAAGCTCTCTATTTTTCTCTTCTTTTCTGCCTGATTTGAATCTGTTATTATTAGTCTACTAGTATTGAAATAAAACTTGATGTTTAGGTTACTTAGAGATTTTGTTTTTCTTGTACAGTTCAACCAGAACTGTAAAAGAAATGTACATGTTAGAAACTCATTTGAAACTGAAAAACAAAATGTGAAAAGGCAAAACAAACAAACAAAAACAAAAATAAAAAACCCTCAAACTTTCATGAAGACTACTTTACCCAAAATTTTGGTCTATGGCTTTCCTGGCATGACTCACTGGATATCTGAGTCATTTCCAATTAAGAAATGTTTATAATATGGGAAACATGTTTCTAAAATGTTGGCAGCCTGGGCAACATGGTGAAACCCCATCTCTACAAAAGATACAAAAATTAGCAGGGCATGGTGGCACCTGCCTGCAGTCTCAGCTACTCAGGAGGCTGAGGTTGGAGGATCACCTGAGCTGGGGAGGTCAAGGCTGCAGTGACCTGTGACTACACCACTGCACTCCAGCCTGGGTAACAGTGAGATCTCATCTCAGAAAAATAAAATAAAATAAAATTGTGGAATGATTTTATCTATAAAATGCTAACATCTGACAAATAGTTCTAGGTTTCTTGCTTCCTAAGTTTTTGGATTCATGTATAGGTGAGTGCTCTTTGTTGTCTCTTCCATTCCCTTTGTTGTCCCTTTTCCTTTCTGCAATATACTTTGCAATATACTCAGCCTTCTAGGCCCCAGGAGACACAGGAATACTCATATTCCCCAGGTTGAGGTTAGAGGCCCCACCCAGAGTTGGATAACCTATTTGAGTCTCAGAGTTGTATTTGTCAGTACCTACTGTTTCTTAATCGGCTGTTATTTGCTGTCTGTGTCTCGCTAGTGACACATGTCGCCCTGTGCTTGCATGCCCTGAAGTTTACACCTGTCATTTTTTTCTGGTCTTGATGATTTTCATTCTTTGGGTTATTTAATTCAGCATCTCTCAATTGAGGGAAGTGAACATTCTCCAAGTTGAAAAATAATAATAATTTTATATAATTTAGAGCTTATTTAAAATTTACCTATGAAAGAAGGTAAAAAGGAACAAGTAGGGAGAGAGAGATGTGAAGAAAGTTATGAATATAAAAATGTACTTTTGGCCGGGCCCAGTGGCTCATGTCTGTAACACCAGCACGTTGGGAGGCCAAGGCAGGTGGATTGCTTCAGGGCAGGAGTTCAAGACCAGCCTGGGCAACATGGCAAAGCTCCATTTCTACAAAAAATACAAAAATTA